>NC_000010.11:19555454-19706969 GCF_000001405.40 Homo sapiens
GGAGGTGGGCCATGCAAATACAGGTGTCAGAGGGAAAACATTTCAAACAGAAAAAGTCATGTGAAGCTGTAAGTCAGGAGTGTTTCTAGCATTTAAGGGGGTTGGCAATGTAACCTTATGCTAGAGCATAAGGAGGCAAAGAGTAGTGAGAAGATACAGAGGAAATGTGTAGGGGAGACAGAGCTTGAGAAAACGTCTACACCATTGTAAAGACATTCTTACAATGTGTTTGTGGCACCCAGTTCTAGAAAACTATTACTAAATTAATTCTAAAGTGCCCCCTTTGATAGATTAATGTACCTGGTACTTTGATCATTCTTGCCTCTAATTAGGCAAAGATGTTTGGTCTCTAAAGATTGAGTTGGGGAAAGTAGTTGATGTTAGCAAGGTTAATGATGGTATGCTACTGATTTTATTTTAAAGTCCAAAATTAGAGATAGAAAGCATGACAGAGAGGGAGAGAAAAGGAGGGTGACTAAATGTATTAACGGAACAAGTGATTATTTTAATAATTTCTTTAATTGGCATTGAAATTGATGAGACATTTGTGTTTTTCCAACTAAGGCAACTCAGTAAACCAAAGGAAATAAGGAAAATTCTCTCACCAGCGCTATCATTTCTGTACTGTGTATTTTTAAAATTTACTTTTAAACATTAAACAGCTTTATTATTGGAGCAGTTTTAGGTTTATAGGAAAACTGAGTGGAAAGAACAAACAGTTTTCGTATAATATAATCCCTCTCAACTTACCCTTGTCCTACCCAGTTTTCATCCATCATTAACATCTTCCATTAGTATGGAACATTAGTTACAATTGATGAGCCAATATGGAGGCATTATCATTAAAGTTTATAGTTTACACTAGGGCTTACTCTGGGTTGCACATTTCATGGATTTTGACAAATGTATGACCTATATCCATAGTATCATGCAGAGTAGTTTCACTGCCCTAAAATTCCCCTTTGCTCCACCTATTTATCCCTTTCTCCCCCAAAACCCTTTTTTTTACTGTCTCCATAGTTTTACCTTTTCCATGAATTCACATAGTTGGAATCATACAGTAACTACGCTTTTCAGATTGACTTATTTCACTTAAAAATATACATGTAAGTCCCCTCTCTGTCTTTTCATGGCTTGATACCTCATTTACTTATTGCAGAATAAGATTCCATACTATGGATGTGCCAGAGTTCGTTTATTCACCAGTTCAAAGACATGTTAGTTGCTTCCAAGTTTTGGCAATTATAAATAAAGTTGCTATAAACAATCACGTGCACATTTAGTGTAGACATAAACATTCAGCACATCTGGGTGAATATCAAGTAGTACAGTTGCTGGTTCACATGGTAAGAGTATGTTCAGTTTTGTAAGAAACTGCCAAACTGTCTGACAAAGTGGCTATACCAGTTTGCATTCCCACCAGAAGATAACCTCCTCTGTTATCTTCTAATGTTTCATAGTGAATGAGAGTTCCTGTGGCTCTATATCCTCGGGAGTGTTTGATAATGTCAGTGATTTGGAAATAGCCATTTTAAAAGATGTTTAGTGTCATCCCATTTTTGTTTTAATTTGAAAATCCCTGATAACAAATGAGTTTGAGTATTTTCTATATGCCATTAGCCATTTGAATAGATTCTTTAGGGAGGTTTCTATTTAGATGTTTCATCCATTTTTCTCATCAGGTTGTTTATTTTCTTATTTTTGAGTTTTTAAAGTTCTTTATATATTTTGAATACCAGGCCTTATCAGATATGTGTTTTAGAATATTTTCTTTGGTCTCTAGCTTGTCTTTTCATTCTCCTAACAGTGTCATTTACATAGAAGTTTTTAATTTAACAAAGTCCAACTTACCAATTTCCCATTTATGGTTCCTGGTTTTGGCAATATATGTAAAAACTCAGTGCAACACCCAAAGCCACTAGATTTTCCCCTATGTTATCTTCTACAAGTTTTATAGTTTGCAGTTGACTTTTAATTCAATGAATAATTTTGAGTTAATTTTGGTAACACATGTATACTCTGTGTCTAGATTCTTTTTTTTTTGTTTGCTTGTTTGTGGGTGTAGTTGTTCTGCATTATCCTTTCTGCATTGGATTGCCTTTGATTCCTTGTCAAATATCAGTTACTTCTATTTGTGTGAGTCTGTTTCTGGGCTCTCTATTCTATTCCATTATCAGTGTGTCTATTCTTTCACAAATACTACATTGTCTTGATTACTATAGCCTTATATGATGTCTAAAGTCTGGTAGTGTCAGTTGTCTGGCTTTGTTCTTCTCCTTTAACCTTGTGTTGGTTATTCGGAGTCTTTGACTTTCCTTTTAAACTTCCAAGTGAGCCTCTCAGTATCCTCAAAATAACTTGCTAGGACTTTGACTATGATTGATTGAATCTATAAATTAAGTTGGGAAGAACTTACATCTTGAAAATATTGAGTCTTCCTCATGAAATAACATCTATTTATCTATATTTGAGATTTTTCATCAGTTTTGTAGTGTTCTTCATAGATATCATGTACTTTTTTGTTAGATTTATAAATATATATTTCTTTTTTGGTGCTAATATAAATTTTATTGTTTTAAATTTTGAATTTCAATTGTTCATTCCTGCTATATAAAAAATAACTAAATTTGCATATTATTCTTGCATCCTGCAACTTTTCTCTAATTGCTTCTCACTTCCAGGAAGTTTTTTGGTTGATTATTGGTTGATTTTCTACAGAGACAATCATGTCATCTATGAACAGTTTTATTTCTTTCTCAATTAGTATGCTTTTTTCCCCCCTTTTTTCTATTATTATGCTACCAAGGACTTCCAGTATGATGTTAAATAGGAGTTGTGAGAGCACACATCCTTGCTTGTTCATGATTTTAGTAGGAAAATGGCTAGTTTTTCACTATTAAGGATGATATTAGCTATAGGTTCTTCGTCAATATTCTTTATCAATATGAAGTTCCCTTCTATTCCTAGTTCCCTAACAGTTGTCATCATGAATGGGTATTGCTTTTCATCATATTCTTTTCTGCATGTATTGATATAATTATTTAATGTTTATTCTGTAGCTTGTTGATATGATGGATTACATTAATTGATTTTCCAATGTTTACTGGCCTAGCATACTTGGAATAAATCCTACCAGATCATGGTATATTATTCTTTTCTTCCATTGCTGAATTTAATTTGCTAATACTTTTTGAGAATTTTTGCATCTATCTTCATGAGAAATGTTGGTCTGTAGTTTTCCTTTCTAGTAATGTTTTTGTCTGGTTTTGTATTATGGTTTTGTTTTGAAAGGTTATTAATAATTGATTGAATTTCTTTAATAGATATAGGTGTAGTCAGATTATCTGTTTTTTCTTGTGTAAATTTCAGTAGATGTGCCTTTCAAGGAATTGGTCAATTACATCTAGATTATCAAATATATGGTATATATTGTTAATAATATTTTTTGGCTGGGTGCGGTGGCTCACACCTGTAATCCCAGCACTTTGGGAGGCTGAGGTGGGCAGATCACTTGAGGTTAGGGATTCGAGACCAGCCTGGCCAACATGGTGAAACCTGTCTCTACTAAAAACGCAAAAATTAGCCAGGCATGATGGTGGGCACCTGTGATCCCAGTTACTCAGGAGGCTGAGGTGGGAGAATCGCTTGAACCTGGGAGGCAAAAGTTGCAGTGAGCCGAGATAGTACCACTGCACTCCAGCCTGGGTGACAGAACAAGACTCTGTCTCAATAATAATAATAATAATGATGATAATAATATTTTTCATTACCCTTTTAAAATTCATGGGATCAGTAGTGATGGTTCTTTTGTCATTTTCAATATTAATGCTTTGGGTCTTCTCTCTTTTTTTCTCAGGTAACTTGGCTAGAGGTTTAGCAATTTTATTAGTCTTTTCAAAGAATCAACTTTTTATTGATTTCCAGTTTTTCTTACTTTAAACTATATGCATTCAATGCTGTAAAATTTTCCTCTAAGCACTGCTTCACTTCATCCCATATACTTTGATTAAGCATATTTTATTTTTAATTTTTAATTGAAATAGAATATTTTAAAATTTCTCTTGGAACTTCGTTGACCTTTGTGTTATTGGAAATTGTGTAGAATTCGTGTGTGAATCCACCTGGTCAAAGACTTCATGACTAAAACACCAAAAGCAATGGCAACAAAGACCAAAATTGACAAATGGGTTCTAATTAAACTAAAGGACTTCTGCAAAGCAAAAGAAACTATTATCAGAGTGAAGGCAACCTAGAGAATGGGAGAAAATTTTTGCAATCTATCCATCTGACAAAGGGCTAATATCCAGAATCTACAAGAAAGTTAAACAAATTTACAAGAAAAAAGAGAAACAACCCCATCGAACCATGGACAAAGGATGTGAACAGACACTTCTGAAAAGAAGACATTTATGAGGCCAACAAACATATGAAAAAAAGCTCATCATCACTGGTCATTAGAGAAATGCAAATCAAAACCACAATTATATATACTATCTCACACCAGAATGGTGATCATTAAAAAGTCAGGAAACAACAGATGCTGGAGAGGATTTGGAGAAATAGGAATGCTTTCACACTGTTGTTAGGAGTGTAAATTAGTTCAACCATTGTGGAAGACAGTGTGGTGATTCTTCAAGGATCTAGAACCAGAAATACTATTTGACCCAGTCATCCCATTACTGGGTATATACCCAAAGGATTATAAATCATTCTACTTTAAAGACACATGCATGGCCGGGTGTGGTGGCTCACGCCTATAATCCCAGCACTTTGGGAGGCTGAGGTGGGTGGATCACAAGGTCAAGAGCTCAAGGCCATCCTGGCAAACATGGTGAAACACTGTCTCTACTAAAAATACAAAAAATTAGCTGGGCGTGGTGTCAGGCACCTGTAGTCCCAGCTACTTGGGAGGCTGAGGCAGGAGAATCACTTGAACCCAGGAGGCAGAGGTTGCAGTGAGCCAAGTCTGCACCACTGCACTCTCCAGCCTGGCGACAGAGTGAGACTCCATCTGAAAAAATAAAATAAAATAAAAAATAAATAAAGACACATGCACATGTATGTTTATTGCAGCACTATTCCCAATAGCAAAGACTTGGAACCAACCCAAATGCCCATCAATGATAGACTAGATAAAGAAAATGTGGCACATATACACCATAGAATACTATGTAGCCATAAAAAAGGATGAGTTCATGTCTTTTGCCGGGACATGGATGAAGCTGGAAACCATCATTCTCAGCAAACTAACACAGGAACAGAAAACCAAACAGCACATGTTCTCACTTATAAGTGGGAGTTGAACAATGAGAACATATGGACACAGGGAGTGGAACATCACACACTGGGGCCTGTTGGGGTGGGGGATAGGGGAGGGATAGCATTAAGAGAAATACCTAATGTAGATAACGGGTTGATGGGTACAGAAAACCACCATGGCACGTGTATACCTATGTAACAAACCTGCAGGTTCTGCACATGTATCCCAAAACTTAAAGTATAATAAAAAAATGATAATCATACTAAAGGAAAAAATAAAAATAATTTCCTGACTATGCATAATTAAAAATCTATCTAATATATCTAATGACAATTTGGGAATTGGGCATTTGAGAAATAAAAATAAAATAATTTATAATAAAAAGAAAATTGTGTAGTATAATATCAAACAGGATTTTTCAGCTATCTCCCTGTTATTGACTTCTAGTTTAATTCCATTGTGTTCTAAGAGCATACATTGTATGATTTCTATTCTTTTAAATTTGCTACAGTTTGTTTAATAGCTCAGAATGTTGTCAATCTTCATAAATATTCTGTGTGAGCTTGAGAAGAGTGTGTATTCTGCTGTTTCTGGGTGAAGTACTTTATAAATGTAAATTAGACCCAGTTGATTGATGCTGTTAAGTTCAACTACTGCCTGACTGGTTTGCTGCCCTCTGATCTGCCAATTACTGAGAGAGGAATCTTGGCATCTTTAACTATAATAGTAAATTCATTAGTAAATTGGCAAGTATTTCCCTTTGCAATTCTGTGAGCTTTTGCCTCAAATGATGCTCTGTTGTTAGGTGCATACACATAAATGATTGCTACGTCTCTTGAACATTATATAATGCTATACCAGGCCATTTGGGCTGCTATAACAATGCCTTTGACAGGGTAATTTGTGAATAGAAGAAATTTTTAAATGGGGTTATGATTAGGTCTCAGTCTTTTAGCGAGACTGTGCCCTGAGTTGTGTCCTTTACAATTGCCTCTCAGCATTTTTTTTTTCTTTTTTCTCCTTCTTGGATGAAACAAGAAGGCTGGAATGCCTGGAACTGGTTATTTCCCTTCTCCCCCATGGAGAACTAGAGGGGATGGGGTTTTATATTTTCCCTCCTATACTTTTGTTAGGCTGTGGTACGCTGCAGTCAGTTAAGCTCTCTTTAAATAGTTTGCCTTAAGGGCAGGCCTCACTGACAAGAACAGAATGTTCTTGGTATGTTTCAAAATAGCTATTTCCCCTCTCCTACCAGAAACAGAAGGGAATGTTCCTCTGATCTTCATTATAAGAACTTGATGGGGCCAGGCGCAGTGGCTTACCCCTTAATCCCAGCACTTTGGCAGGCCAAGGTGGGTGGATCACAAGGTCAGGAGTTCAAGACCAGCCTGGCCAAGATGGTGAAACCCTGTCTCTACTAAAAATACAAAAATTAGCCAGGCGTGGTGGCGGGTGCCTGTAATCCCAGCTACTCAGGAGGCTGAGGCAGAGAATTGCTTGAACCCAGAAGGCGGAGTTTGCAGTGAGCCAAGATCGCGCCACTGTACTCCAGCCTGGGCAACAGAGCGAGATGCTGTCTTAGGTAGATAGATAGATAGATAGATAGATAGATAGATAGATAGATAGATAGTTAGATAGATAGATATCTAGATAGATAGAGAACTTGATGAGACTTCTGGAAGTAAAACTCATGAAACTCTGGGTGTCCTCAAAAGAGTTCCTCCCCTCAACCTTCAGAGTATTTAACTTTCAAACTTATTCACCCTGAGCCTCCAGCAGTTGATCAATTACAGTTTAGGATTTTCTACCCTTGTCTTAGTTCCTGCAGGAGTACCTTTCCCTGGTCTTCTGTTCTAGTACATTGTGGTTCCATGTGTCCCCCTCTTTCTTTCTTCAGTTTTAGAGGCAGCAGTTTGTCCTATGACCTCAATTCTCTAATGCAGGGGTATCCAAGCTCTGGGCCCATGGCCTGTTAGGAACCAGTTTGCACAGCAGAAGGTGAGGGGCAGGTGAGCGAGCATTAACTTCTGAGCTCCACCTCCTGTCAGATTGGTGGCAGTGGCGTTAGATTCCCATAGAAGCATGAACCCTACTGTGACCTGTGCATGTGAGGGACCTAGATTGTGTGCTCCTCATGAGGATCTAACTAATGCCTGATGATCTGAGGTGGAGCAGTTTCATTGCAAAGTCACTTCCCCTGGCACCCCATCCGTGGAAAAAATTGTCTTCCATGAAAGGGTCCCTGGTGCCAAAAAGACTGGGGATCACTGCTCTAATGGATCTAAAAATAGTTGTTGATTTTCAGTTTATTCAGCTTTTTTTTGTGTGTGAAGACTGGATCAATGATTTCCAGTTCCTTATATGCTGAACCAGAGACTGCAAGTCTGTGCTGTGTACAGTTAATGGATTGTTTGATCTCTCTATATATCTGTAATTCTGAAGCTATAGAGGGCAGTTATTTGGTCTTACCCTACAATCATACATCACTTAGGAGACATGACAGAAAATATGGGAATGAGCTAAATTTTCATTAATATCAGTAGCATTGTTGTTATGTCCATCCTGTATCAACTTACCTTAAAACCTGTAACCTCTTCTCTTCAAGGGAAATTTTCCTATTACTTTAGATTTTTTTCTTTCTTCTTATATATGATTTGAGTGTTTTCAAACTAACCCATAGGCAACTATGCACTTCTAATGATTAAGCAGTAACTCACTTCATTGCTTTGCCTCATCAGTGGTAATTAAAGAGCAGACCCCTTTTAGAACAGCTGAGTGTAGCTGGGGCCAAGAAATGTCATATTGTCCTCTCACTGATGCATTTCACACACTGGTTTTAATAAGCTACATACCTAGTGAAATGCATGCGGTGTTTTTCTTAGCCAAAGGATTTCACTCAGAGACTTCAAGTCAGTGCCAGTGACCTGCCTTCAACATTGCAGGCACCAGGAGTGTTTGGAAACTGCAGGAGAGGAACTTCAGGAAAAACTCCTAATCATTGTCTTTCAAGGCCTTATCTGGCCAACCTAGATACATGGACATTGTTGAAGTAGATGGTCTCTAATACACATCTGATATAGGTTGGATGTCCCCTCCAAATCATATTGAGGTGTAATTCCCAATGTTGGAGGTGGGGCCTGGTGGGGTCTTGGGTGTGGATCTCTTATGGCTGATAGTGAGTTCTCACAAAATCTGGTTGTTGTAAAGTGTGGCACACCGCCCGCCTCCGGCACTGTCTCTCTTTTTCCTGCTTTCCCCATGTAATGTGCCTGCTCCCAGTTGGCCTTCTGCCATGAGAAAAAGATTCTTGAAGCCTCCCCAGAAGCAGTTGCTGGTGCTGTGCTTCCTGGAGAGCCTGCAGAACCATGAGACAGTTAAACCTCTTTTCTTAAGTTTTACCCAGTCTCAGGTATTCCTTTATAGAAATGCATGCATGGCTTAATACACCATCTATTCTGGAACTTAACACTCATATTTTGTATTACCTCTTCATATCTGTTGTTGAATGTTTTCCTTCAAAGGAGTCTTCATTAAAAATAAATGCTGAGGAGTTTCTTCATCAAAAAATTTAACATAGACTTAATTTGATAATATTATAATAGTTATATTTAAATGACCTGATTTTGGTCTATCTATGTTTAAATTTAGCAAGTTCTCTTTAAGTTTTTAATGTTCTACATTATAAGCAGTAGCTTTGATCATAATATAACCTTTGTATATAACCTTGATGATAACATAAACTCTACTATAATTTAATATTTTTGTATATTCTTGGAATCCATATTTTATGACAAAAGTTATGCTAAAATTATTACTTTACATTATAAAATGTTGACAGTTAATATATTACTGGGTCTGTGTTTGACTAAAGTTTAAAAAATATTAAAATAGAAATAGGCAAATTCATCCAGCAGTTAATTTTTAGAAAGCTATTTCAAATAATTATTACTGTGATATGAGTTGCCGTTTTAGTTAAGTATGTTTAATAAATGTAAAATTAGAAACAAATGACATTAGAATTAATTATTTTTCAAGGAAGTTAGCCATTGTGGTTTTTCAAAATTATCAACATTTAAAAGTTATTAAAATTACTTTGCTGAGAGTTATCACAAAGACACCCTCAGAATACAATAATATCATTTCTATTGAAGGACAGAAATATATGCTATAATTTTAGTTGTTAGTGGGCTTCTCATTAGACATAATGAATAAGCAATGTTATGAGTTCCTAAGTAATACTCCTAGTTTTCTCATTGGCCACAGTGGCTATGAAAACACTTGACGTAACATGTAATTATTCAACTTAATATACTGGAGGTATTATAAATAACATGTTACTAATGAAATAACCTACAAACTGGCCAGAAATTTCATTGAAATAAATAGTGAGTTAGTAAAGTTGACCAGAATTAATTGGGATTAGTGGTAGGGTCAAATAATGGGGTAAGATGTGTTGACATGTATTGGAGAGTTTAATGTTCATGACATTGGGGAGGGAAAGTCATGGTGTGGTTTTGAGAAGTAGAGTAGGAAGAGAATGGAACGAAAATGAATTTGACAAGAGCATGTAGGATTGAAGATTAAAAAGACTGAATGCAGAGAGAAAAATAAACTGTAAAACCAATAAAAATAGACACATTAATAAATAAATATATGCTGAGGTTTGGGGAAAAACAAAGTGTTACAGTTACATTTTCATGTAATTTGTAAACTAATTTTGCCAGGAAGAAATTACAAAATAAATATAATAAAGCCATTTCTTTTTAAGTTATTGGGATGTAAACCAAGATTTGTGTAAAAATCAGAGTTCACTTTAATTAGGTTCTGTATAGTATGCTCTATTATCAACAAGTTGAATTAGAAACTTCACATCTTTTTATTTTTAATTTTTAAGAAATGGAAAAGTAATTACATAAACTTGTAAACCAAGTATCCACCAGATCCTGGAGCTGAAGATTCTTTGGGATGAGTGCTTACGTGTCAGACTGGAAGTAGTCAATGGATCCAAATTCCCTTCTGATTGAATCTTAGCTGCTTTTGTTAATTAAAGGATCAACATTAAAAGTAATTTTTTGCTTGAGAAATGTCTTGAGAAGCTTCTTTTCCAAAATGTCCAACTTGATATTAGGGTTAAAGTCTCACATTTCAGGTTTCCAAACTTTGGGCAAGTTTTAAATTTTTCTTTAGTTTATAATCATCTTGATTTATTTTTGTTTTGTTTAATTTCCATTAACATCTCGATTTCTGAAATTGATCTTAGATTTCTTTTGTACTTGGGGACACTAGCAGCATTCTTATCTTCTGTCTCTGGAATATTTGGTGATTCTTGCTAGTATTTCTGCAATGACAATTTAATATCATAAAATAAGATGACTGTTATTCTTTCCTTTTTATAGAATAAATTTTGGATATATATTTTTTATTTATTTTTTGAGACACAGTCTCCCTCTGTTGCCCAGGCTGGAATGCAGTGGCATGATCTCCTCTCACTGCAAACTCCACTTCCCGGGTTCACGCCATTCTTCTGCCTCAGCCTCCTGAGTAGTAGCTGGGACTACGGGCACCTGCCACCATGCCTGGCTAATTTTTTTTTTTTTTTTTTTTTTTTTGTATTTTTAGTAGAGACGTGTTAGCCAGGATGGTCTCAATCTCCTGACCTCGTGATCTGCCCGCCTTGGCCTCCCAAAGTGCTGGGATTACAGGCGTGAGCCACCACGCCAGGCCATATTTTATAGGATAAGTTAACTGTAGCTAAATTTTGACACTAAGAAAACAGTGACACAGTAAGATTTTTTAGTAAGAGGGAGGTCACTGGAAAAATGTACTATTGCAATAGAAGAAAATTAATATCCATGTGTTTTCTTTTCTCTGGGTCTTATTTTTCCCATGTGAAAAAAAGGGTTGTATAACTGATGCTGAAGTATACCATAAGCCAAATATAAATATATAGAGATATATAGATAGTATTTTATATATATATATCTGTATATGGTATGATGTTTAAATATTGCTATATTACCAAATTATATATAACGTTGGTATCTGATAACTATAAAATTTAGGTGCAAAAAGAGAATATAGAAATATAACTCTTTAATCTTAACTTTTTTCTCAATTATAGAATGTTTTAAACAGCACTAGAAAATGCCATATGTTATTTTTTTAAATTATTTGTACTGATAAGCAAAAGTACTAGAATCTAGCATGTATGTTTGTTGGTTTCAAAGCTAACTCTTTCTGTTTCCTTATTTCTTGCATTTGTTAGTCACTGAACTATTAAAAAAAGTGGTGAATATCAATGTTAGTTCATCCAGGAAGATTTTCTGTCTTCAAAATGTTAAAATATTTTCTGCACATTACTGTGGTTTTTAAAATGACTTCTATAATCTCATATTCATTTATCATATTCATGTATCATGAGGGTCCTCTTTTTCTGCAGTCACACAACCTTAGTCTAACATAGACAAAGTTCTTTAGCAATAAAAAAATTTGTGTTTATATCTCCTCCAGCTTTTTAAATGCTTAAGACAGTTACGGTTTTTTTTAATTATGTCCAGTTTGACGTACAGAAGTTGATGACAGAAGCAAATAAAGGTCCTACTAACCCAGGAAAATATAACATCCATTGGCTCACTTTATAACCCACAATTTCTACAGATAGAAAATACAATAGTCAATGTATTGAGCTGTTACATAGCCAGAGATTTCATTCTTTCATCAATCATCTGGATGTCCTGATACTTCTAATATCCAATCATAAAAAGTTATTTTTTAATGATTTTTAAAGGTGTATACCATTGAAGAATCGGGGCTAAACATCCTGGTGTGGTCAGTGATTGGAAATAAAAGAACGGGATGGACATATGGCTCTGTGCCTCTCTCCAGTAACAGTCCGTTTAAGGTGGCATTTGAAGCTGATTTGGATGGAAATGAGGACATCTTTATTGCTCTTGATGACATCTCTTTTACCCCAGAGTGTGTGACTGGAGGTAAGTGATTCTTTCAGAAAATGGGAATAAGTATTTGTTTTTAGTATCTAAATATACTAAAGATTTGGGAATTTCTGAGGAATTACATTTATTTCTGGGTCCAGTTCTATTTACACATGGAAAAGAGTCACATATACTAAGAAGTAAAGTTTCTCTGCCTATGAACTTCGCCATGAAATTTTCATGTCTTGTAGGCAACAAAATAACTTTGCACTAAAGTTGTTTTAGAAACCCTGAGGAAATTTTGTTCGGTGAATGTAGCTTTATTTTCTGCTTTCCTTATTCCCAAAGGTTCACAAGAACTGCACAAGGCAAAGGCCCCTGTGGCTACCTATTATCTTCCAGACTGTCTTCTCCATCTGTATTAAGCTTTTCCCTTCCCCAGGCCACGTTCCTTCTCCTAACCGTTTCTATTGTACAAGCTAGAATGCTCATTCTATTTCAAAAAGAAAAAAAAAGTTCTATTCTAAACACCTTTTCTAAAAAAGTCACCCCTTTAACTGAAATCTGAATTTCTACTGTTTAAGATGTTCCCCCCCTAAGTGGGGCTGTTTGTTCCCTTACTGAGTCTTCCATTTAAAATATTAAATAGTAGGGTCATTGTCTTTCTAGCTACTCAATGCCTCTTTAAAAGTGGTTTTGTTGTTGTTGTTGTTGTTGTTGTTGTTTTTTCCTAACACTCCTACTCAAAGTTTCTTTTCTTTTAAGGCCACACATCTGAATTTTTGTTCTTCTCATAGTTTTTCTCTGGATTCAAAATCCTGGGCAATTTCAACTTCAGGTGACACACCCTATCTAAAACATCAACTTCTTTGAGTCTAATAACCAGTGTGAGCCTGCTTCCTCAGGAAGTCACTCCCATGGTTAACATTCAGGGCCTGAGCATCCCCTTTGAAATCTTAAGATTAAAAATCTCATATAATCACCACTTTCTCATCTTCATTACTCCTCCTAAACCCATTTTCTAGTAACATTAATAAGAAAAAAATATATATTCTAGATCATCAAGGCCTCCTGGTTTTTGGGGTTCCATAAGCAGCCTCTTACTTTTTCCCCCAATAATTATAGATTTAATGATAACACCTTATCCAAATCCATTCGCATTCAGAATTTTGAATTCTATTATGTTCTATTTCTTAATTTTTTCACACGAATTTGAATAGTATGTGCCAGGCGATGGGCTAAGCATTTTGCACATGTTAGTACATTTATTTATCGGCACACCTCTGTAGATTCTAGATACATATTCACATAATAATATGAACAGATTATTCAGCTCAAATTCTGCCATAATGGCTTTATGATAAATAAACTTATTTACAATAAATTATGATTTATTTACAGTAAGTAAATCTATTATTGTAAATATATTCTAGATCGATATTCATATAGTAATAAGAATAGATTATTCATCCCATATTCTGCCATAATGGCTTTAATCATCTTTGCAATTGAGGTCATATAACCATCTGAATTTTCCAAAACTGCTGCTGGTCATGCTAATGGGGACCACTAAATATGCTGGTTTATCACCTTAGCTAGGCCTTTTAGGGTCCCAGATGCATGAGTTTCTCATTTCCTGGCACCAATTTTCTCCAGCAATTCTCAAATTCTCCCATTTCTCCCTGGCATGTTCTTTACTTTGCTGGTATTTTTGTGTCCTTTGAATAGAATAAAGCCATTTTGTGATAAATTCCTTTAATTTTCTCATTTTCACCTCCAAATGGGCCTTCACCTGTCTCCAAACTCTTTTTCTCACCATTTATCTCAGGAAAAAAAAATCTCCATCTTCCCAAGCATGAATATATATTTTTAGAACATTTGCTTTCTCAACTTCTTTCAGCCATTGCTCCATAAAAGTCTTCTGCAGCTCATGTCTTCAATACCTCTTCTTCCAGTCATTCTTTGCTCTGTCTTTTATATATATATTCCATAATATGTATATATATTATAAAATGTATTATTATATATTATATTATTATATATTGTTAATATTATTATATTATATATTAGTAACTTATATATTAACATGCAGTCCATATATAGAATTCCATATTTATCATTATATATAATTATATATATACTGGAATATATATTTATATATATTTCTTATATATATTATTCCATATGTATATAATGGAATAATACATAATTATATGTATTTTACTAATTTTGAGCTCCTCAAGAGCCAGAGAAGCTTGAGAGCTTGTATTTCATCTCCAAATTCTAACATAGGGCCTAGGAAATGTAGCCTAAGAAATTACTGTTTTTCAAAATAACATACTAACAATGAAAACTGATTGTGTGAACAACAACCTAACATTCACTAAAGTATAAAGGTTCATCTTTCCCAGTGTGTTATAGAACAGACTTTCCTGTCAAGGACGATTTAAAAACAAAACAAAACACTAAGACCTTTGGTATTAAACCTTGAACTTTGTCATTTTGTGTAATAAACGTACCTCTCCCAAGCCCCATTCTCTCCTCCAAAATCCAGAGTCTTAAGGCATAGCTTCTACAGCACGACTTCATTATTGATTCAGGCAGATGCTTTTAGAAAATCATAAATTAAATCAGTACTCCTCAGACTGGGGTATACAGATATCCACAGCAATGTCTTAGGGATTATGCAATACCGTGAAATAAATCTGATGTAATTCATTGGGTTTATTTGAAGATTTGGCAAGAAAGGTTAAGTAATTTATTATGTGACATTTGAAGTAAACTCAAATCTACTATAGAGGGGAATGTCAAAGAGAAAACAGAAAGCTTTAAAGAAATGTGATCCTTTAGCACTATTACTAATATCCTCTTCCCTGTGGTTTGTGGCACTATGGTGGAAAATTTTGAGAGGTGCCTAATACATAATTTAGGCATTGAACACCTATGTCATATAATAGCCAATATGCGTAATATATTGGTGAATGTGAAAGTTATAACCAATGCAAGATCTAAATAATACAAGAGTCTGTTGTTAAGTGTAGAAAATGGTAAAGAAAAGTGTGAAACCAATTTTAATAAGATATCCATCACAAAAGATATCTATGTATAAATCCTGAAAGATATACAAAATATAATATCTGTCTCTGAAAAATAGAAATATGAATTATTTTTCTTTTCTTCATGGTATTTTTCTTCCATATTTTTAAATGTCTTCTTAAAACTGTGTTGTTTGTAATTGGGAAAAAATAATGATGTTACTTTATCAAGTAAAAGTATAAAGTCATGATACATATAATTATTAGAACCACATATTTTGGGTTAATTGTTGTTTTAATCTTGCCCTAAATGAAGTTATTTGTTGGAATTATTATAGGGAACTATTGCATAGATGGATTTATTTCTATTACTTTGAGTCTTGTGTTTTTCCAATAGTTATTCCTGCTAATAATAACTCATATCTGTGAAACTTTGTGAAATGTGAGAACAGATTATAATTAGCTCTTCTTACTTGCCAAAGTTAAGGAACATCAGGCAGAATAAACATTATGAGTGAGCTGTTCTGCTAGTAGTTCAGGGATCTGATGTTTCACTGTTCTGGAGCAAATGTTTATCCTGTGTAAGAAAGAGTAATCTAGAATTAGTTTTGCCTTAGCAGTTTTTCTTCCAGTTGCCTTAACTTTCCAAATAGCAGCCAACGAAGTCAGACAGAATTTTTAGATGTTCAAGAAGGAAAAAAAAAATAACAATTATATATATGCCTCAGAGACATTTGGTAAAAATTATCTTTGAAGTGTTAGTACTTAGCAAGGAAAACTTCATTTCCCAGAAATGCTGGATAAAGGAAGCATTCTTTTTCACGTAAAATTTAAAATAGGTCAAATTTTGAGACATTCCTCTTTAAAGTTTTTATTTTGTAGGCTAAAAATCTACAGAATATGTTGCAGTTTTCCAATGAAATATAGTTGTTAAAAAATGCAAGAATTCTGATAGTACAGGACCTACCACAATGAATGTTTACTGAATAAAGCAAGAAACAGAAATTAAATAGATTTTTTTCAGTATTCATTTATGTGTTCATACTTCAGCCCTTAGGAAATGTGAAAAAGTCTATACCATTAAAACTACTAGCTTTGTTTGTCTTTCCTTAGTTAACTCAGATGAGACACAAATGAACCAAGGCGCCTGAATTAACAGATAATTTTCTTAAGATCTTATAACAAAACATCCAGATTTGTATGTTGAACCTGCCAGCTTTCTGCTCAGGTCCAGATTAACATCCTACGATGAAAAATGGCAAACTCTCAACTTCATTTCAACCTCGTATTAGGTGTTTTGTTGTCGTTTTTACCACCACCACAAACTCCCATAATCAGAAGGAATATAGAACAACATTTGTCACCCCAAGTTACCTGCAGTTTTCTTTCCATGTAGAAGATTCCACTAAAAACAGCAGTCCTATCCCCCACCAACCTTTACCTTCCGCATTATTACTTCTCTGTCCTACCTTAATTCCTTTAGGTTTCCCAGGGCAACATTTTGTAAATGAGACAAACTTGATGAAATAGAGCGTCTCCAGAAATTCTGAGTCAGCAGAAGAGTGTGTTTATTTGTATTGCATCTGTTTTCCTTAGCCATGTGAGTTTCCAAGAGAGAAATGTGTTTTCTGTTTTACTTCTATCATTTGAAACAAGGAGGATCTCATCTGTCTCCATGAGGAAGAAACATTTGACAGCACTGTTAGGACATTGATACTTTTAAAACTATATGCGAGGTTGTAAAATATTTGAAACAACAACGGCTTGAAAATACTGTGCATTTCTACACAGTTTTGTCAGGAGTTTAATAAGGTGGCAAATACCAATAGACACAACCCTATGGAGATTGCACCATAGCTAGGAAGTGGATTATTTCCATAGAGAAGTTGGCTGGTATACTGGGTAGAATAGTATCTCCTCAAAAATCCATGTCCTTTGCAAGACCTCAGAATGTGATCCCATTTAGAAATAGGGCCTTTGTAGATGTAATTAAGATGTAAATTAACGGCATTTTGAAGTACGGTGGGCCCTAATCCAATATGACCAATGTCCTTAGAAGAAGAAGAGGAGAAAACACACAGAGAGTACCATGTAATGAAGGGGGCAGAGATTGGAGTAACTCATCTACAAGCCAGGGAATGCCCAACATGGTCAGCTAAAAAGAAGCTAAGAGAAAGGAGTGGAGCAGCTTCTCCCCAGAGTCTTCAGAGAGAGCAGGGCTCTAGCAATACTTTGAATTCAGACTTCTGGCCTCCACAACTATGGAAGCATAAATGTCTGGTGTTTTCAGCCATCCAGCTTGGGATACTTTGTTACTGCGACCTTAGAAAACTAATACAATTGGGAACATTGAACTCTATTTTATAGTCAAGAACTGGGTGCAGATGTTCATTACACACTGCTTCCTGATTTGCTTTCTGTCTCTCTTGTTTGCTGTCTGGGAAGGGACCCCACTGAGCCATGAGCTCTGGATTCTGTACAGTGGGCAGATGACATGGACCATGGCACGTGTTCCTTCTGGATCCTGCCCCAGGTCAAGGTGGTTGGAAACTCTCCCTGGCCCTGGAAGCCATTAAGGCTCAGACTCACATCACCATGGCCCTCTCCTAGGAGGGACTCAAGGCTGGCATGGCTCTGCATGGCAGGCATGGTGGATCAGGGCACCTACCCAGCTCAGCCAGCCTCTGGTGCCCCTTCCTCTGAGCCAGGTGGTGGCAGCAGCCCTGGGCAGAAGAGACAGCAAGGAAGTGGTCTCATGGAAGCCCAGTGGAGCAGAGACATGAGGAAATAAATCACATTTCATCCAACTTTAGGCAGGAAAAGCAGGGATTCGCCGCCTCCCTCATTTTCTTTCTCTTCCCAGAACAATCATTAAACTTTTCCCATGCTCAGCCACCCCTTTCCCCCTAAAAAAGAAAAAATTTTCCTTACGCTTACTACTCATTGGACCTGATTTTTCTCATTCATGAAATGATTATTGTCAGGATTTAGGAATATGCCTTTCCTAAGAGTTGCATTAACCACTTCACGCAAATGAGGAATCATTTTGAGAAACCTAAGAATAATTCTTAAGTGACCTAATATGTCACTTAATATTCTCCATTGAAACATGCTGCATCTGAAACTCCCTTAAATAAATACAATAAATAATGAGGTGCTACAACATGTTCAAACCCTGAGAAAACTCCAGTTTGGGAGATTAACATTATGGGCACTTATTCCCCACCCACCCTGACTAGGTTTTGTTGTTATTGAATTGAAAGAAAATAGACCTTCGGAGAGTGAATGCATATTGTAAAGAAAAGAAATGTCATCATAGGGCATCCTTTTTGTCTTGACTTGATAAATATAAGTTATTGGCAAATAGCAAGGTGCCAAACAAAATAAAGAATAAAATTCTTAAGAAAGTCAAGGGGAATAGTACAAATTCTGCTTCACTGCTGAAAAATAATAGCTCTCACTTCGTTAATGAATAGAGACTCCCATTCTTCTCTGGTATCTCTAGGCTTGAATAGCAAGTCCAAGTAACTATTTTCAGATGTAATCTCTTAAGCATAAATTATTTAAAGGCAGAGATCTTTGTCAGTTGTGTTCAATGGTGTATTCTATATGCCTGGATGAGTTCCTGTTATGCAGTAAGCATTCAATAAGTATGTTGTATGACTAGAGAAATATGTTGAATGAAGAGATGATTAAGTAAAAGTCACTATCAGATGAATTTATATGTTATATGGCACCTCTCTCTTCATACTCACCAGTGACCTCAGCCTCCAAAGTTGTTCTCAATTTCATGTGTGGGGAAAAGAGAGATCGCGAACAAGAGACAGGCAGAGAGAAAGAGAGAGAATGAATTTTGTGAATAGTCTAGCAGGCTCTGTGTGGTGTATCAAGTGATAGAAAGAGAACCACTGGAATGAAATTTTGGAGAGCTTGGTCTAAACTATGGCTGTACCATACTTGTACAATTTTGAGCAAATCATTTAAACTCTCTAGACCATGTTATGTCACCGGGGAAGTGAAATAGATGATTGCTTAAATCCCTTCTAACTCTGCCATTTTATGATTATATGATACTGGATTTGGAGGAGAGGATTAGGGAAACAGAAGGCACAGGGCATGACATGGGAGAGGAGAAAGTTCAGAGAGAATGAGGAGGGAGTTAAAGGAGATCTGAGAATTAGGGCAGCGAGGTAAAAGTAGAAATGTCATTGCAGTTAGATGCAGAAGACTTCTCACTACTGGGCGTGTCTTTGAATTTAAGTTTGCCATTCATTCAGTCAATACTTGTTGAAAATCTATGTGGTGCCCTTGAGTTGGATTGGAAAGACAGGTAGGAATGTAGTAGTGTCTACAGCTCTCAAGGAGTTTACAATCTAAGAAAATACTGCTATAATGATGCATACTTGAAAGTTTAAAGTACAGTTTGTCCTTAAACAACATGGGTTTGAATTGCCCCGTTTCACTTATTTATGGATTTTCTTCAACCAAATGCAGATGGCAAATGCAATACTCATGGGATGCAAAACCCACATATACAGAGGACCAACTATTGGTATAAGCAAGACCCAGTAGGGCTAAACAAACCCCCAGTTTGTGGCATTTGCCTATTTCTTTGGTGTAAATACTCCCAGCATGGTTGATTTCAAGCTGTGCATGTGACATCACTGAAGGTGATATTAAAAATAAATGCTCAGCACAGTACAAGCAGTCTGCTACACATAGTGTCAGAGGAGTGAGCCCCAGGTTCAACAGCACCACCTCCCTCCCAGCTAGACAGTGGAATGAAAGTAAAGGCCATGGTTCACACACACACACACACACACACACACACAAACACACACTTACTCAGCATTACTAATAGAGATTATTGCCAACGAGCAATAATTTTTTTCATAATAAGGATATTTGTACCTTTTGTTTCAGTTGGTAAAGAAGGCCTCAAAAATCTCTTGGTTATGAATAATAAGAAAATGCCATTAATGTCTTCAGTGCCTGTGCATACCCTTCTAAATATCCACTTTGAAACCAGTTATTGTCCACTGCTCCATATCCTTACTCTCAGTACAGCTCAGTCAGCAAGTTCTATAAATGTTGCAACCTTTTCTTCTCCCAGTTTCTTTTTACTGCCCAAGTTCTCATTTGAGACCTTATGATTGTTCATCAGAATCTCTGTAACGGCCACATAACTGATATATCTAATTTACTCACACATATACAACTCCCAAATTAGTCCTCTAGTACCAATTATGTTGTCATTTCCAGAAAGATAGACCACTCCCCTATCTTACCGTAATAGCCCAAAGAATATGTTATTGCAAGCAACAGAATTGCAGTTGGGCTAACTTAAGCAAAAAGTAAGTTTACTGAAAGGATATTGGATTGCTCCAAAATTCAGAAGTAAGGCTAAGAACCCAAACCAAGGACATGAGCAGGAAGCAAGTGAGGTTGACAACATTCAAGGGTAAGACTGGCTAATACCACTGCCTTCAAGTAATAGCTTTGGAAGCTGAGCTATCTACCCCTCTGACATCACTATGAATAATCTCGAATACTCCCTATGCCATTCCTCTGAAATTGAAAGTGCTGGTTGGAGCATACCACTTCCAATCCCAAGTCGTATTTCCACACTTCAAAGTCACATTAAGTTACTCTATCATCTTTATTTACACAACATGCATCTCTGGATGATAGCAATTCTTATTCTCATTGTATCAGAATTAAGCTTGAAAATTCTGCAACATTTGTGCCAAATTATAATATTAACCAGCAACAATAAACCCTCCATGTATACTTTCGTGTTGTATAATATAGAGCAAATGGAAGGGAAATTAATCAAAATACATAAATTCATACAAGTTATAAAGAGGAGAAAAATGCTAAGTGGTTAATTGCCTACTAAATAAGTTTCTTATTCTTTAGTACACCTACTGACTTGTCTGTCTCTGTCTATAAAATGATCCCATCAAACAGGATCATTTGTCTTTCTCAAGTCATTACCCTTATCCCCTCATCTCCATGATTTTAGTCCTACCACTTCTCTGGCTGAGAAAGCACAGCCCTTTATCTCCTCTTGTGTAAATCCTCCTCCAATTTCAGGGGCAGAGCGAAAGCTGCTTTCTTCATGAATTTATCCTTAATCCTCCCCACAGGAAACCACGCTCTGAGATTGTCTTAGTCTTAACTTTGCAGTTCTTCTATAGTATATCTTATAAGGTATTGTTGATATCTGTAGCTTTTTCTCTGTCATTTTTAGTTCCTCCTCATTGAAAAATCCACATTGTCGTTTTTTTTTTTTTTTTTGATTTGGCAAGAATGAGTGATCTTTAACTTCAAAGTTGATTGAGAAAAATGTAAAATAAATTTCAAGTCAATATATAACATAGAGTAGGTATGTATTGTATGTAATATAACAATTGTAGATAAATTATTTAAAACTTGGTTTTAATACAAGTGTCATTTTTATGATTTTGGTTCAGTTAGTGATTCATAAGGCCTCGTTTTAAAATGAATAGTGATAAATGTATAAAAGCCGAAAGGAAATGATTATCAGGCAATCCTGATTCACTTATTGGATTATAGAATATTATTAGATTTTAAATCTATTATTGTGGGTCATGAAGTCCTTACTGTTTGTCAAAAGATGGGTTAATTCCTTTTTGCTCCTAGAAGGGATATTAGATTTGAAGGCAAAAACATTAGAGCCAGAAAATGCCATTAAATGCTAATACCAGGCAGGCTTAAGGGAGTAAAACCTGGATTCCCTGCTTGTCAGCCTTTGGAGGAGTCTGCCTGTTATACTAGGAGCTGGTTCTTACTTGGTTGCCTGCTGATCATCAGGCTGGAAGGAATTTTGTTGAATTAGGAGGAGGAACTCCAAATGACAACCATGGAAAAATCACTCTCAGTGTGAACTATATTCCATTAGCTTGAATTTCACAAGTGTCTCATCCAGAACTCAAAGATAAAACACAAATCACTGTCCCAACACTCTGTCTTAAAGATGAAGCCTTTTACGTGAATGATGACGTTGGCCACATAAACACATATGCATTAATATATATGTAACATAACATATATATATATATAATAAAACATAACATGGTAACTTAGTCATTTCACAACCATATGGAAACAATAATCAATTCCTAAATTCCTGGTCACTTTTGGAAATTATAACCTTTGCTGACTCTTATTTTCACTCAGAAAAGCTCAGCATCCAAATGTTTTACCAGGCCAAGTATGTCAGAGAGGTTCTGTGGGCTTTTCACAGCCAGGGTCAGTCTGGCCCTGTTTTGTTCTCTTGGGCTATGAGAGGCTACATTTATTAAGATTTTTCTGATTCCCTGGAACACATATGTTGTTTGCTGGAAAGCGTCCAGACTTTATAAAAACAAGTTCATTTGTTGCCTAAGAAATAGGAGAATGCAACACTGTTTTACTTAATAGTCTAAGTTTTAAGAAAAGATTTTTTTTCAAATAGAAAAACAAGAGACTTTCCCAGAATGACCAGTTTTTGTTTTGTTTGTTTTGCAGTAGCATCTTATTGATGTGTAAGAATATTTCACCCAGAAAGGACCAGTTGCTATTTGTAGAAATAGCTGAAAATGAGGGCCTGGGTGGGATTCATGGTTCAACAAACAGTGACTGTGTATACATATATGAGTTTTCATTTTTCACCAATGTAAAGTTGCTCAAAATAGAAAGCATGGGATTAGAGAAATAACCAGCTTCCAGGTACAGTGGCTCATGCCTGTAATTCCAGCACTTTGGAAGGCTGAGGCAGATGTAACACCTGAGGTCAGGTGTTTGAGACCACCCTGGCCAACATGGTGAAGTCCCGTCTCTACTAAAAATACAAAAATTAGCTAAATGTGGTGGCGCATGCCTGTAATCTCAACTACTTGGGAAGATGAGGCAGAAGAATTGCTTGAACCCAGGAGGCGGAGGTTGCAGTGAGCTGAGATCATGTCACTGCACTCCAGCCTGGGGGACAGAAAAGAGTTGACAAGCTCATGGCTGGGTTTTTTTTTTTTCACAGTACACATGACTAAGCAATTTAAAGACCAGTCCAAGAAGCAAAATATCAAAACCTTGTGTTTTGCCCTTCCTTCCTCTTCTGATGGTAATGTAACTCATGTTATGCTGGTGACATGTGCGCCCTGTCGGTTTCCATATATACATCTTTTAGCTTACATCTTCGTACTTGAGCCATCCAGTTCTGACCAACAATCTCCAAGAACACGTGTTATATAATGGGACGAGATAACCCAACACAACTTAATCTAATCACATTTAGTTGTTTCTATTAGGAAGGCAGAAATTCATGTAAACCTCTTTCTTTTATAAAATAATGATACAGTCGTATACAATACTCTAAAGTTTAGGTTAAGCTACTCATTCACATTCCTCAAAAGTTACTCTTCCGTTAAACATAGCTATGTTTGTCTTTGTCTTCAGTGCTGATCACTGTTAACTGGAAGTTATGGTATCACAGCCACTTGTTCTATTTGATTGCATCATAAAGTAGTTGAGATATTGCACCTGGAAGGTCTCTAATAGACAATTGTAGAATAATATCTGAGTCTTGAGTGGTCTTCTCTAATGCCCATGTCACTAAATGATTTGTCTCTCATTTGACCTTTCTAAGACAGATAAAACTGTTGTTCCCAAAGTGCATGTGAAATTTGACACTTCCTTCACTGATAGATTGTCTAAAACTCCTAGAATTTTTTTATTGTATATATTTACGGTATGTGATGAGAGATGGCTTCTAACTTACCATTCTCAGCCTTTTATACTAAGAGAAAGATCTGATTATGTTTTGGTACCAAAGCACCTGCTCATAATTTCTGTGAGTAACAGCTTTCCACTCATAGGACCGATGATGATTTTCTCTTTCTCAGCCCTATATCAGCTAGCCAAGAATATAATGCATATCCTATCATCTGATATATTCATTATTTCCTCTGTAATTTTAGGGTTTTATGGGGAAGAACGTGAGTATAGGTGAGTCTGAATCAGGTGTCAGTTTGTTGAATACCAACCAAAAACGGTAGACTTAACCCTGTAAGGCGTTGGAGAACCATTTTTGAGCAGAGTTCTTCCTTTGGGAAATGTGTGCTGGAAGAAATGTGAACATTGAATTAAAAGAGGAATGTATTTAATAATACTGGGCCTAAAGTTAGAAGTCAGGAGTTGAGGATTTGGGGAATGCTTTAGCTATTAAATAAACTTTGCAGTCAATATGAGCTAGAGCTATCAGTGAGCAACAGCGTTAAATTAGGCCAAGTACACAACCTCGTCCAACATTGCATATAATTGTGGCCACACTAACACTGATATGTCAGACTGGGAACTATAGCACCGTATGGAAATGATTAAACAGGAATGAATCTGTAATCCACAGGGGACCTTCTGGGTTGCAGGCCTTATGGCAGGAAAAAAATGGCCAGCAACCACACTCCTTTTTTATATTTTTAATATATTCTATCACTTTTACCTATGTTTTAGATTATTGGGGGTTATACGAAGGCAGCAAATTCATCATGTATGCAATTTCAGCCATTTGCAGTGGTATCACTATTTTTGGTTATGGAGGAATTCTTTATAATCCTGGCAAATATTGATATTGGGTAAAAGCGATAACTCTTTTGGGGCCTCTTAAGACGTTCTGTTTCTTCAGATCTTATTTTCTTTCAAGTCTGCAGCCTCTGTATGTGCTGGAGGAAAGGAAGAACTCTGATAATAGGGTTTTCACTTTTCCACCTCAATCTCATGTTTCCTCTGAATGACATCGCCCATCATCCACTGCCCAGCTATCTTCTCCAAAACTCCTCTTTTATTAGTGAGTAGCTTCCTGCTTTCAGGTAACCTGCCTCTGGATGTGTGTACATGCATGCACACATATTTATACAAATCACGTATACATACATAAGTGCATTTATGTTGTGTTAAGTCTGAATTTTTTCCAGCTCCCTCTTATGTTAATTTTATTTAGCTTTGGCCTCGACTAGCTGCAGTTAATCACTTTGAAAATAGTTATCATTTTGTGCTTGGCATCTCTTCTCAGGTACTTGTTAGCTTCCATATTGGACATAAGTTCTGGAAAATTCTCCATTTTCTTCACTCTTGTCTCTCTGTCTGGCTTTTGACATTTGGTCATGGCCAAACAAGCCTTCCTGATTCCTTATACTACACACACTCTGTGTACTTTCCCACGCATGCCAGGACTCTCTGAGTCTTTAGTCAAATAGAGGTCAAATAGAGGTCATGTTCCATCTTTCTAGGAATATTTAAGCTGTTAAATATATGGAAATGAAATAAGATCAAATTATTCTTTTCTCTTTCCCTATTACAGAGGATGATTTTTTAAAGTAAAAAAGAAATTAATATTTGTATACTTTATGAAGGGCTCTTATGGAGACATAAGCACAAAGTTATAATTCACAATAACCTCAAAACAAGAGTACTTATAATTGCAGCTACTAAATTATAAGTTTCCTCCCTCATAGTTTTCTTGTAATCTTTATTTATTTATTTATTTATTTATTATTATACTTTAAGTTTTAGGGTACATGTGCACAATGTGCAGGTTAGTTACATATGTATACATGTGACATGCTGGTGCGCTGCACCCACTAACTCGTCATCTAGCATTAGGTATATCTCCCAATGCTATCCCTCCCCCCTCCCCCCACCCCACAACAGTCCCCAGAGTGTGACGTTCCCCTTCCTGTGTCCATGTGTTCTCATTGTTCAATTCCCACCTATGAATGAGAATATGTGGTGTTTGGTATTTTGTTCTTGTGACAGTTTACTGAGAATGATGATTTCCAATTTCATCCATGTCCCTACAAAGGACATGAACTCATCATTTTTTATGGCTGCATAGTATTCCATGGTGTATATGTGCCACATTTTCTTAATCCAGTCTATCATTGTTGGACATTTGGGTTGGTTCCAAGTCTTTGCTATTGTGAATAATGCCGCAGTAAACATACGTGTGCATGTGTCTTTATAGCAGCATGATTTATAGTCCTTTGGGTATATACCCAGTAATGGGATGGCTGGGTCAAATGGTATTTCTAGTTCTAGATCCCTGAGGAATCGCCACACTGACTTCCACAATGGTTGAACTAGTTGACAGTCCCACCAACAGTGTAAAAGTGTTCCTATTTCTCCACATCCTCTCCAGCACCTGTTGTTTCCTGACTTTTTTAATGATTCCCATTCTAACTGGTGTGAAATGGTATCTCATTGTGGTTTTGATTTGCATTTCTCTGATGGCCAGTGATGGTGAGCATTTTTTTCATGTGTTTTTTGGCTGCATAAATGCCTTCTTTTGAGAAGTGTCTGTTCATGTCCTTTGCCCACTTTTTGATGGGGTTGTTTGTTTTTTTCTTGTAAATTTGTTTGAGTTCATTGTAGATCCTGGATATTAGCCCTTTGTCAGATGAGTAGGTTGCAAAAATTTTCTCCCATTCTGTAGGTTGCCTGTTCACTCTGATGGTAGTTTCTTTTGCTGTGCAGAAGCTCTTTAGTTTAATTAGATCCCATTTGCCAATTTTGTCTTTTGTTGCCATTGCTTTTGGTGTTTTAGACATGAAGTCCTTGCCCATGCCTATGTCCTGAATGGTATTGCCTAGGTTTTCTTCTAGGGTTTTTATGGTTTTAGGTCTAACGTTTAAGTCTTTAATCCATCTTGAATTGATTTTTGTATAAGGTGTAAGGAAGGGATCCAGTTTCAGCTTTCTACATATGGCTAGCCAGTTTTCCCAGCACCATTTATTAACTAGGGAATCCTTTCCCCATTGCTTGTTTTTGTCAGGTTTGTCAAAGATCAGATAGTTGTAGATATGCGGCATTATTTCTGAGGGCTCTGTTCTGTTCCATTGATCTATATCTCTGTTTTGGTACCAGTACCACGCTGTTTTGGTTACTGTAGCCTTGTAGTATAGTTTGAAGTCAGGTAGTGTGATGCCTCCAGCTTTGTTCTTTTGGCTCAGGATTGACTTGGCGATGCGGGCTCTTTTTTGGTTCCATATGAACTTTAAAGTAGTTTTTTCCAATTCTGTGAAGAAAGTCATTGGTAGCTTGATGGGGATGGCATTGAATCTGTAAATTACCTTGGGCAGTATGGCCATTTTCACGATATTGATTCTTCCTACCCATGAGCATGGAATGTTCTTCCATTTGTTTGTATCCTCTTTTATTTCCTTGAGCAGTGGTTTGTAGTTCTCCTTGAAGAGGTCCTTCACATCCCTTGTAAGTTGGATTCCTAGGTATTTTATTCTCTTTGAAGCAATTGTGAATGGGAGTTCACTCATGATTTGGCTCTCTGTTTGTCTGTTGTTGGTGTATAAGAATGCTTGTGATTTTTGTACATTGATTTTGTATCCTGAGACTTTGCTGAAGTTGCTTATCAGCTTAAGGAGATTTTGGGCTGAGACGATGGGGTTTTCTAGATATACAATCATGTCATCTGCAAACAGGGACAATTTGACTTCCTCCTTTCCTAATTGAATACCCTTTATTTCCTTCTCCTTCCTAATTGCCCTGGCCAGAACTTCCAACACTATGTTGAATAGGAGTGGTGAGAGAGGGCATCCCTGTCTTGTGCCAGTTTTCAAAGGGAATGCTTCCAGTTTTTGCCCATTCAGTATGATATTGGCTGTGGGTTTGTCGTAGATAGCTCTTATTATTTTGAGATACGTCCCATCAATACCTAATTTATTGAGAGTTTTTAGCATGAAGGGTTGTTGAATTTTGTCAAAGGCCTTTTCTGCATCTATTGAGATAATCATGTGGTTTTTGTCTTTGGTTCTGTTTATATGCTGGATTACATTTATTGATTTGCGTATATTGAACCAGCCTTGCATCCCAGGGATGAAGCCCACTTGATCATGGTGGATAAGCTTTTCGATGTGCTGCTGGATTCGGTTTGCCAGTATTTTATTGAGGATTTTTGCATCAATGTTCATCAAGGGTATTGGTCTAAAATTCTCTTTTTTGGTTGTGTCTCTGCCCGGCTTTGGTATCAGGATGATGCTGGCCTCATAAAATGAGTTAGGGAGGATTCCCTCTTTTTCTATTGATTGGAATAGTTTCAGAAGGAATGGTACCAGTTCCTCCTTGTACCTCTGGTAGAATTTGGCTGTGAATCCATCTAGTCCTGGACTCTTTTTGGTTGGTAAGCTATTGATTATTGCCACAATTTCAGCTCCTGTTATTGGTCTATTCAGAGATTCAACTTCTTCCTGGTTTAGTCTTGGGAGAGTGTGTGTGTCGAGGAATTTATGCATTTCTTCTAGATTTTCTAGTTTATTTGTGTAGAGGCGTTTGTAGTATTCTCTGATGGTAGTTTTTATATCTGTGGGATCGGTGGTGATATCCCCTTTATCATTTTTTATTGCGTCTATTTGATTCTTCTCTCTTTTTTTCTTTATTAGTCTTGCTAGCGGTCTATCAATTTTGTTGATCCTTTCAAAAAACCAGCTCCTGGATTCATTGATTTTTTGAAGGGTTTTTTGTGTCTCTATTTCCTTCAGTTCTGCTCTGATTTTGGTTATTTCTTGCCTTCTGTTAGCTTTTGAATGTGTTTGCTCTTGCTTTTCTAGTTCTTTTAATTGTGATGTTAGGATGTCAATTTTGGATCTTTTCTGCTTTCTCTTGTGGGCATTTAGTGCTATAAATTTCCCTCTACACACTGCTTTGAATGCGTCCCAGAGATTCTGGTATGTTGTGTCTTTGTTCTCGTAGGTTTCAAAGAACATCTTTATTTCTGCCTTCATTTCGTTATGTACCCAGTAGTCATTCAGGAGCAGGTTGGTCAGTTTCCATGTAGTTGAGCGGTTTTGAGTGAGTTTCTTAATCCTGAGTTCTAGTTTGATTGCACTGTGGTCTGAGAGATAGTTTGTTATAATTTCTGTTCTTTTACATTTGCTGAGGAGAGCTTTACTTCCAATTATGTGGTCAATTTTGGAATAGGTGTGGTGTGGTGCTGAAAAAAATGTATATTCTGTTGATTTGGGGTGGAGAGTTCTGTAGATGTCTATTAGGTCCACTTGGTGCAGAGCTGAGTTCAATTCCTGGGTATTGTTGTTGACTTTCTGTCTTGTTGATCTGTCTAATGTTGACAGTGGGGTGTTAAAGTCTCCCATTATTAATGTGTGGGAGTCTAAGTCTCTTTGTAGGTCACTCAGGACTTGCTTTATGAATCTGGGTGCTCCTGTATTGGGTGCATATATATTTAGGATAGTTAGCTCTTCTTGTTGAATTGATCCCTTTACCATTATGTAATGGCCTTCCTTGTCTCTTTTGATCTCTGTTGGTTTAAAGTCTGTTTTATCAGAGACTAGGATTGCAACCCCTGCCTTTTTTTGTTTTCCATTTGTTTGGTAGATCTTCCTCCATCCTTTTATTTTGTGCCTATGTGTGTCTCTGCTCGTGAGATGCGTTTCCTGAATACAGCACACTGATGGGTCTTGGCTCTTTATCCAATTTGCCGGTCTGTGTCTTTTAATTGGAGCATTTAGTCCATTTACATTTAAAGTTAATATTGTTATGTGTGAATTTGATCCTGTCATTATGATGTTAGCTGGTTATTTTGTTCGTTAGTTGATGTAGTTTCTTTCTAGTCTCGATGGTCTTTACATTTTGGCATGATTTTGCAGTGGCTGGTACCGGTTGTTCCTTTCTGTGTTTAGCGCTTCCTTCAGGAGCTCTTTTAGGGCAGGCCTGGTGGTGACAAAATCTCTCAACATTTGCTTGTCTGTAAAGTATTTTATTTCTCCTTCATTTATGAAGCTTAGTTTGGCTGGATATGAAATTCTGGGTTGAAAATTCTTTTCTTTAAGAATGTTGAATATTGGCCCCCACTCTCTTCTGGCTTGTAGAGTTTCTGCTGAGAGATCTGCTGTTATTCTGATGGGCTTCCCTTTGTAGGTAACCCGACCTTTCTTTCTGGCTGCCCTTAACATTTTTTCCTTCATTTCAACTTTGGTGAATCTGACAATTATGTGTCTTGGTGTTGCTCTTCTCGAGGAGTATCTTTGTGGCGTTCTCTGTATTTCCTGAATCTGAATGTTCGCCTGCCTTGCTAGATTGGGGAAGTTCTCCTGGATAATATCCTGCAGAGTGTTTTCCAACTTGGTTCCATTCTCCCTGTCACTTTCAGGTACACCAATCAGACGTAGATTTGGTCTTTTCACATAGTCCCATATTTCTTGGAGGCTTTGCTCGTTTCTTTTTATTCTTTTTCCTCTAAACTTCCCTTCTCGCTTCATTTCATTCATTTCATCTTCCATCGCTGATACCCTTTCTTCCAGTTGATCGCATCGGCTCCTGAGGCTTCTGCATTCTTCACGTAGTTTTCGAGCCTTGGTTTTCAGCTCCATCAGCTCCTTTAAGCACTTCTCTGTATTGGTTATTCTAGTTATACATTCTTCTAAATTTTTTTCAAAGTTTTCAACTTCTTTGCCTTTGGTGTGAATGTCCTCCCATAGCTCGGAATAATTTGATCGTCTGAAGCCTTCTTCTCTCAGCTCGTCAAAGTCATTCTCCATCCAGCTTTGTTCTGTTGCTGGTGAGGAACTGTGTTCCTTTGGAGGAGGAGAGGTGCTCTGCTTTTTAGAGTTTCCAGTTTTTCTGCTCTGTTTTTTCCCCATTTTTGTGGTTTTATCTACTTTTGGTCTTTGATGATGGTGATGTACAGATGGGTTTTTGGTGTGGATGTCCTTTCTGTTTGTTAGTTTTCCTTCTAACGGACAGGACCCTCAGCTGCAGGTCTGTTGGAGTACCCGGCCGTGTGAGGTGTCAATCTGCCCTTGCTGGTGGGTCCCTCCCAGTTAGGCTGCTCAGGGGTCAGGGGTCAGGGACCCACTTGAGGAAGCAGTCTGCCCGTTCTCAGATCTCTAGCTGTGTACTGGGAGAACCACTGCTCTCTTCAAAGCTGTCAGACAGGGACATTTAAGTTTGCAGAGGTTACTGCTGTCTTTTTGTTTGTCTGTGCCCTGCCCCCAGAGGTGGAGCCTACAGAGGCCCGCAGGCCTCCTTGAGCTGTGGTGGGCTCCACCCAGTTCCAGCTTCCTGGCTGCTTTGTTTACCTAAGCAAGCCTGGGCAATGGCAGGTGCCCCTCCCCCAGCCTCGCTGCCGCCTTGCAGTTTGATCTCAGACTGCTGCGTTAGCAATCAGCGAGACTCCGTGGGCCTAGGACACTCCGAGCCAGGTGTGGGATATAATCTCCTGGTGCTCCGTTTTTTAGGCCCGTCGGAAAAGCGCAGTATTTGGGTGGGAGTGACCCGATTTTCCAGGTGCCGTCTGTCACCACTTTCTTTGACTAGGAAAGGGAACTCCCTGACCCCTTGCTCTTCCCGAGTGAGGCAATGCCTCGCCCTGCTTCGGCTCGCGCACGGTGCATGCACCCACTGACCTGCGTCCACTGTCTGGCACTCCCTAGTGAGATGAACCCGGTACCTCAGATGGAAATGCAGAAATCACCCATCTTCTGCGTCACTCACGCTAGGAGCTGTAGACCGGAGCTGTTCCTATTTGGCCATCTTGGCTCCTCCCCTCTTTTGTAATCTTTTTGAATGCTGTTACTAAAATGCCTGCCAGAGACAGTTACCCATTTGTAACAGGTGCATTATATTTTACAATGAGCATTTTTACTGTCTATATCACTGCGTATGACAATGTTTGGCAACAACATAATTTCTGCACTTTAAAACTGAAGTTCTACTTGCATATCATTTTTTCCTTCAAAACAGACAATTTTCCTTTTCTCTAAACATATTAATCATAAAGGTAAAAATCCATCAGATTATCCTTGGGCACTTTAGGCTTTTATGGAACTTGTATGAAATTCTTGAGCACATTTCATTGAATTTCATTGCAAATTATCAGTGTGATGTAATTTTTATTCCTATAAGAAATATGTTTCTACTGCTGTGCAAACATTAAATGAACAATGAAACTTAACGTCTTGTGGGAGGGCAAAGAAACACCTACAATATCAGGAACTGGAACTGTCTGCATAGCACAAAGTGAAGTGGAGTATGGTAATCAGAGAGATGTCTTGGTTACTGGGAATGTCGAAGTTCCTAAATGCCAGGAATTGGAACTGTCTGCATAGCACAAAGTGAAGTGGAGTATGGTAATCAGAGAGATGTCTTGGTTACTAGGAATGTCAAAGTTCCGAAATGCCAGTTCCTAAATTCCTTATCCTAGGTGTTTTTTTTTTTTCTTAAATATTTTCCTTTCCTCTCTTTTAAGATCTAGTAGAAAACAAAAATGGCAGATTTATTCTTTTAAATATATATACATGTATATACAACATCATCTGCAAAAGTCCTTTATGTAAAATCACATAAAACTTCTGAAGCAATTGGTAAAGACCTGTAGGATGCATATGAAATGAATGACAGAGTTCTTTACTTAATTATAAGTTTATATTCAAATATATTCGAAAATTTTTTTTTAAAGACCTTTCCAATTTCTATATTGTTGATCTATGCTTTTACTATTTATGATTTATTCCATGGAAATAGTCAATGAAAGCATTCTTCAGTTCGTCCATTTTGATTATGTAACTCCATATTAATTATCAAGAAAAGTAAAATTACTATTTAAACCACTGATTTATTATTCATCAATGTCAGAAATATTGATTGAACACACATCTCATGCCATTTACTCTTTTGGGCATTAGGATGTCAGTGTATTCTCAAAGAGAGGTTAAAACCTGTCCAATATGATTTGGAGTGTCCAAGCTCTATTTGAAGTCACAATTTTGAGGAAAACCTGAGTAAAGACCTGGTGAAGTTGCTGTTGTAGTGATGCAATTACAATTTCCTGACAAAGCACAAGTATAGCTTTGATTGTGGGATTTTCTGTTGTTTCAGAATCCTTTTTCTCAAAACTAATTTGTACACTGATTCCCTAAATTCTAAAGCAACATTTCTTATTTACTCATGTATGTAGAGACGGAGTCTTGCTCTGTCGCCCAGGCTGGAATGCAATGGCGCAACCTCTGCTCACTGCAACCTCCACCTCCTGGGTTACAGTGATTCTGTCACCTCAGCCTTCCAAGTAGCTGGGATTACAGCCACCCACTACCATGCCTGTCTAATTTTTGTATTTTTAGTAGAGATAGGGTTTCACCACGCTGGCCAGGCTGATCTTGAACTGTTGACCTCAAGTCATCCGACCGCCTTGGCCTTCCAAAGTGCCAGGATTACAGGCATGAGCCACCGCGCCCAGTCTAAAGCAACATTTCTTAACCTGTTTTCTGCTGAAACCCATGCTAGCTGATGTTTATGTGCTTGTCACATTACTTGCACAATAAAGACAAGGGTAAACATTTTATTGTACATTTTAAGCGTTGGATTACTGAATATTAAAAGGGATTTGGAGAAATTAAAAAATTAAAAGTCTAAGAGAAAAGTATCACATACAATGTACAGACTGAAACATAGGTTCTAAGGGATATTGGTCCAAGATAGATAGATAGATAGATGGGTGGATAGATAGATAGATAGAAGATAGATAGCTCAATACCAACATTGGTATTTATGTATACCAGTATTAGTGTGTATAAATAAAGTATGTCTATATATATATATAGCTGTATATATAGCTGTGACTCCACACCCTTGTTCCTTACTGAAGGAAGCATATTTGGTGGCATGCAAGTGAATGAGAGTAACTTTATTGCTGGTACAGCCTTGAATCATCTCCAATATACAAAGAATAAATCAGTTGCAAACAATGGCATGAGATACGCTTTATTGCTGATTCCAACACACTTGAAACTTGGGATCCTTCTTTTGAGAAACACTCCCTAAAGCACATAAACTAAGCTTTCATATAAGTCTCTTTGTTCTTCTCACCCCAGCATTAGGTCTGTATAATACCCCTAATCAGATGTAGCTTGAAAACTGTTGACTTAACATAAAGAAACAAACAACCCTAAGATATATAATGAGTCATCTTGTCAAAATTAATCAACAGTTTTTTGGAATGTTTTTATTTTCTCATCTCTTTCCCTCCATCACAGTCATCAACGTTTCTGAGTGCCCATCTACATTTCTTTTGTACATCCCTTCATCCTTTCTGATGGTACTCTTTGGGGTATATGCGAATGACACTATCAACACAGAATGTGCTATTTTCGTTTGCTTTCCTGATCTAAGTTTTATTTTTGCTCTGAGCGTGTTTGGCTCTTCTACACAGTAATTGTCTCGCATAATGAACAACAACATGAATTCCCAAGGAAGCTAACTACTGTCAGGACCGACCTTATAACATTTCCCTTGCACGGTCACTGGCCTTACACCTCAATGCCATTGGTTTTAAGCAGCCTGACCAAGCAGCTCACTGGGCATAGTAAGAAATGGACCAATGTGCTTTATCAAGACACAGTACATTTATCAAAATGTTATGCATTTACTTGCTGAATTGCTACATTCTCAAATAAATTTGGAGAAATTAGAACATAGAAATTTTAAGAGAAAATCATCAAACATGAGGTGTTGGTTACAATGTAGGTTCTAAGGAATATTGGTGGTGATATATATATAATATATGTATATATACATATTTTATATACATGTATATATTATATATGTTATATATGTATATATACATATTTTATATATGTACATATTTTATATAATATATGTATATGTCTATATACATATTTTATATATGTATATATTTTATATAACATATATAGGTGGTTAGATATCTATCTATAGATCTATCTATAGATCTGTCCTATGCCTTTGCAGGGATGTTCCTGAGAGAATTTCTAAGAAATCTCTGATTTAGAGTGTGCCTTAAAGTCAGCTTCCCAGGGAACCTGGCTTATAACACTCTCCAAACATAAAAATGAATCTAGTTTAAATTAAATCTGCTCTGAACTGCTCCTCAGATTTTCATAAGACAGATCAATAAATAGTTAGATATCTCACCACCGGTATTTTATTTTATATAGCAAAATTAATACGTGTATATATACATTGTGTGTGTGTGTCTGTGTGTGTGTATGTGGATACTTTATATTCTACAGCAGTTTTAGGTTCACAGCAGAATTGAGAAGAAAATTTCCCATATACTCCCTGCCCCCACCCTCATAGTCTTCCCTGCTATTAACATTCTGCACCAGAGTGGAACATTTGTTACAATCAGTGAGATGAGCCTACTTTGGCACATTGTTGTCACCCAAAGTCCATAGTATACATTAAGTTTCACTCTTTGTGTTGAAAGTTCTGTGAACTTTGACAAACATATAATGACATGTATCCACCATTATAATATGACACATACAGTTAGTTTCACCGCCCTAAAAATCTCCTGTGCTCTACCTATTCATTCCTCCTTGCCCTACCTCCCACCCCATAATTCCTGGCAGATACTTTTCCTGTCTCCATAATTTTGCCTTTTCTAGAATGTCATATAGTCAAAATCAGACAGCATGTAGCCTTTTCACATTGGCTTCTTTCACTTAGTAACCTACATTTAAGGTAGTGCTGAGGTTTTTCAGAGTATTAAAAAGAGAACAATGAATGTTGTTCTTATTTTACAGAGTTAAAGGAATTGTATATTATTATCAGCTCCAATATCTAAAGAATAAATCAACTGCAAACTGCAAAATGAGATAAACTTTATGGTTGATTCCAACACACTTGAAATTTGCGATCCTCCTATGATAATTAGGTAAATCCATGGGTGAAACCCAAGAATAAATCCATTAACATTAACTTTCTTAACGGTGGCCACACTTACTTCTTTCTTTCCTTCCTTCCTTTTATTTTAGTTTTTTTTTTTTTTTTTTTTGACCAAGTTTTGCTCTTGTTGTCCAGGCTGGAGTGCAGTTGCACTATCTTGGCTCACTGCAACCTTCGCCTCCTCGGTTCAAGCGATAATCTTGCCTTAGCCTACTGAGTTGCTGGGATTACGGGCGTGTGCCACCACGCAGGCTAATTTTTGTATTTTTAGAAAAGACAGGGATTCACCGTGTTGACCAGGCTGGTCTTGAACTCCTCACCTCAGATGATCTGCCCACCTCAGCCTCCCAAACTGTTGGGATTACAGGCATGAGCCGCTATGCCCATCCGGCCACACTTCTTGAAGCATATATGTGGCAACTTGCATCCAAGTCAAAAGATAAAGATAGTACATCTTCCAGGAGTATTAGTTTTATTTGATTACTGAAAGGAAACCACTTATATCAAAAAGTATAGATTTATAGTAGAATACAGAATTTTCATTAGGTTAAAACAAGAGATAAAAGAAATACGGAGTGAATGAAGGACTGCCTCTTGGCTAAGAGACTACCTAGACTCTCTGTAGGAAGCAAAGTCATGTTCACCCTACATCAGAAATATTTCATTAGAAAATCTGAGGGGCAATTCAGAGGAGATTTAATTTAAACTAGATTCATTTTTATGTTTGGGGAGTGTTATAAGTCAGGTTCCCTGGGAAGCTGACTTTAAGGCAGACTCCAAATCAGAGATTTCTTAGAAATTCTCTCAGGAACATCCCTGCAAAGGAGGGGAGGAAACAGAACTGGACATCTGCCTGGTGGCAGGTGGGGTTTAGCTGTGATGCAGGTGCAATAAGAGGCTCAGCCGATACCACGGGGAGCTCTGGAGCTGCCATGGCTCTTCGTAGATGCCCTACATTGAGGCATAGGGCCTGGGCCATCTTATCTCCAACTCACCAGTCAATGAATGGAGCTGTTCCCAGGAGGAGGTGTAACTCTGGAGGGCAATTCCTGGGGCCTGACTCAACCATGAGCTGTCATCTGGCAACCTCCCAGGAGCTGGGGGAATGAACACCTTGATGTGGATGGAGAAAGCTGGGCAGTACAAGCCAGTATCTGTTATACGCAGGACAAGCCCAATGGCGACCTTGAAAAGAAGGGCCTAGAACAAGTGAGTTCTGAGTGCCATTCAGTAAAAAAAATTTCTGCTTTTAATGCAATGCCTACCTCCGAAAGGAGAAAATTTTATTTTTGCATATCCACTATAAGGAAAAATATAAAGACACACACACACACACACACACACACACACACACGCACGCACACACACACACACACACACACCATTCTGAATAGGAACTGGGAAACATAAAAGTCTTTGTTTTTGAATAGAGAACATTATTTTCCTCATTTTTTAAAAAGAAAAGGTTAATACTTAGCTAAGTCATAGATGTATTACTAAAGTTGGTTCTAGATTCTCGTTATATGCAAAGAATTTGCTAAATCTTTTCAACCTTTGGTGAGCTCATAAAGATGAAAGTTTTATGCATAAAATACTTAAAAAAAAAAAAAAAGAATTTCTGTACTTTAAGTGTGAGATTAATCTAATGGAAAGATTACAGAGAAACTATTTATTTGACCATGGTCCAGTACCAGAAGAGCTACATATAAAAGTATAAAGATTTAAATCCAATTTGCTTTCAAGGTTTGAATTTATAATTTGTACATTGGAACATTGCAATTTTATATGCTGCTGTGATCTCAGGCAGTTAGATTAAAACATGATAGCGATGTCTCCAAGTCATACATTTATCTCTCTCCTACTTAAATATACTTATTTCTACAAACATAGGCTCCCTAAGCACAGCCACATATATCTCAGATACATGGCTTTGGTCATAGGGTCAGAGTCTAAATACCTTCTAGATACATCTTCACTATTGGTTTAGTGAGGAGGGAGAGGGACTTTCACATCTCATTTTTTAAATGAATTTGCTATATCATCTTTACATATAACACAAATTATTCTCATACAACCCATAAATAAAAGTAGTTTAAAATGTCAAGAAAACAAACCATTCCTGTACTGGCCTCCATTGCTACTTGGCTCTATATTTTCCCTTAATATATTGATGAGTCCCTCGTTAACTAGCACAGAGACAATACAAAGTGTAAGAAGCATCCCACTAATCACCAATTAGTTCCGTTCTATATGTTCACATACATTCTCTGACCTTTAGAAACATGAGATAGTCAACACTCAACAGTCAGCCTCTGCTTTAAGTTTGACTTAATGTAGACCCAAACCTTTGCTGCAGAAACGTTTCATGTAACAAAAGTTTATTACACTAGCATTGAGTCTTTGGATATTTAAAATTTGTGGGCTTCAGTGTCTTCGTTTGTAAAATGAGTTGGTTGGGTTTGAAGCAGGTTATCTTCAGGATTCCTAATGCAACGTCTTAGATTACACTGTGATTTTATCTAGCTTTGGATATGACAGCACATGGCCTTTGACCTGTAACCAAGATTCAAGGACAGAGTGCAGTGTGACAAAACCATAGCGGATCTCTATTTCTGTGGCCCAACCCTGGCCAGGGTCTCAAGAGCCAGATTCCCTGGGTGGAGGCCACTAAGAGACAGTAAATAAATGATATCTGATATTGTAACAGTTCCCTTAAATTCTTAAACTGGGAGTGCATCTTTCCAAAGTTTTCAATTTACTGCATGAAAGTATCTTTTCACTCGAGCACAATCTGATTTAATAGTCCAATTGAAGGCATAGAAATAAAAATTTCTTCTTTAATTTGAAGGTGTCAGTTTTCATGTCAATGATGCTTTTTAAGAAATATTGTACTGATAAGAATGGCCATAATTAAAAAGTCAGAAAACAGTAGAAGTTGGTGCGGATGTGGTGAAATGGAACACTTTTACACTGCTGGTGGGAATGTAAATTAGTACAATCACTATGGAAAATAGTATGGAGATGCCTTAAAGAACTAAAAGTTGAACTACCATTTGATTCAGCAATCTCACTACTGGGTATCTACCCCACAAAAAAGTTATTATATGAAAAAGACACATCCTTATGCATGTTTATAGCAGCACAATTCACAGTTGCAAAGATATGGAACCAACCCAAATGCCCATCAATCAACAAGTTGATAAAGAAAATGTAGTACATATACTTCATGGAATGCTACTCAGCCATAAAAAGGAATGAAAAAATGTCTTTTGCAGCAACTAGGATGGAGCTGGAGGCCATTATTCTAAATGAAGTAAACCAGGAATGGAAAACTAAATATTGTATATTCTCATGTATAAATGGGAGCTAAGCTGTGAGGATGCAAATGCATAATAATGATATAATGGACTGTGGGGACTCAAGGGGAAAGATTGGGCATGTGGTGAGAAATAAAAGACTATATATCGGGTACAGTGTACACTGCTCAGGTGATGGGTGCACAAAAATCTCAGAAATCACCACTAAAGAACTTATTAATATAACCAAAAACCACCTGTTCCCCCCAAATTATTGAAATTAAAATAATTTTTTATGTTCCTGACATTATGATAAGGTATATTCTTGAATCAGGTTTGTAGGCATCATATTAATCCTAATTAGAAATTAATTTACTTCAATTAATAAAATTCATTTTATACAATAAGAAATGCAACCTGTAATGTCCCAACACTGGATGGAGGGAAACTCCCTAATGCCAAAATAACTTGACTTGCTCTCTTTTTTAGGTCCTGTCCCAGTGCAGCCATCACCCTGTGAAGCTGATCAGTTTTCTTGTATCTACACACTCCAATGTGTCCCTCTCTCAGGGAAATGTGATGGACATGAAGACTGCATAGATGGATCTGATGAAATGGATTGTCCTCTCAGCCCCACCCCTCCACTCTGTAGTAACATGGAGTTCCCGTGCTCTACAGACGAGTGTATACCTTCCCTCCTGCTATGCGATGGAGTGCCCGACTGCCACTTTAATGAAGATGAGCTCATCTGCTGTGAGTTATTTTCACTAACTCAATGTGTAAGGGAAGGCATGCTGCTTTAAAATGAGAAAGAAAGCTCGACAGATAAAATGAAGTTCTCTAGAGCCTTACCGTGATTGTATCATTAATAACACAGCTTTCAGTGTTATGTTGCAAAACAAGGCATCTGTCCTTTGCTTAGTGTTTCCAGCAACACCCCGTTTGTGGTCATGCTAATTTTTGTTAAACCTATCTTTTTCCTTTTCCATTTATATCTGAGTCATTCATATGGGAGATGCCGTTATGTGTTCTTATCTCATTAACGTGTTTATGGAAGTGGTGTGAGAAGTTCAGTTAGAATTTCTTCCTACCATAAAGGTTCATGAAAATGGCTCAAGTAAAGGGCATATTGATAGAGATTTCCTTTTTGATCAAGTGACAAATATTGATTTTAATGGGTATGTATAGTTAAGGATTGGATCTGGATAATTACCTGAGTAAATGTCATGTCATTAAGAGTTCATGGGATAATGCATCCTAGAGATGTGGGTTTGAATTTCATCCCTGTTACTTACTATGTGTGCAGTCTTGGCAGAAGTTATTTAAGTGCTGCCAATTTCATTTTGTCATCCAGGTGTTGAATTCAATAATACCTAACTTACAAGGCTGTGATGATTTGAGCAAATGCATGTAAAATTCCAGGCTGTGTATTCAGTACCTTTGATTTTTAGTATAATTAGCCAGTGTCAGGTAGGGAAGGAAAAATGTTAGGTAAGAAGTAATTACACACATCTTAAAGTGAGTACATATCACTGTGGTGTCCAAACACCCCTAACATTTTATTATTTGTTTGCTTCCTTACTTATTTTATATTTTATATTTTATTATATACCATATACCATATTATATTTTTGGATGAGTGCTGCAGTGATAGTATTCCATAAACTACATGTTAATGACTATACTTTTTGGTATAGTAAAAGGCAGTTTGAAATGTAACTATAAGAGGGGAACATTGAATGAGGCTGGGTGCAGTGGCTCAGGCCTATTATCCCAGCACTTTGAAAGGCCGAGATCGGAGGATCCCTTGGGCCCAGGAGTTTAAGCCAGCCTGGGCAACATAGTGAGAACCCATCTATACAAAAATAGCAATAGTAATAACCAGGTGTGGTGGTGCATGACTGTAGTTCCAGCTCCTCTGGAGGCTGAGGTGGAAGGATTGCTTGGGCCCAGGAGTTTGAGGCTGCAGTGAACTATGATTGTGCCACTGTACCACTGCACCCCAGCCTGGGTGACAAAGTGAGACTCTGTCTCAAAAAGAAAAGAAAAGAAAAGAACGAAAGAAAGAGAGAAAGAGAGAAGGAAGGAAGAGGGGAAGGGAGGAAAGGAGGAAAGGAGGAAAGGAGGAAGTGGGGGAAGGAGGGAGGGACAGAGAGGAGGAAGGAAGGAAGGAAGGAAAGGAAGGAAGGAAAGATGGAAAGATGGAAGGAAGAAAGCAAGGGCTATTTTAGGGTCCTGTGTAATATGGGACCTCTAGAAATCTGGAACAATTGGAAGAAGAGTAAAGATGAATGAAAGAAAAGAGAGATGACCTTGGGATGTTTAAAGGCTTTAGCCTTAAATCAGTGAAACTCTTTTCCTGGTTCGGGCTGACAAATTGGTTTTCCAACTCCCTGTTATTTCCTACCTATATATTCTCTCTGAGATAAAGCCAACCTGTCAGGTCTTCTAATCTTTTCTTAGAAACAAGGTAAGCAAATGGAGGTGAATAGAAAAGAGAAAGCCTGCCAAATTACTTATCCCTGTTCCCATCAGAGCTCTAATGTAATTTGGCTGATAGAAATCATATTAAGTTCAATATAGCCATATGATATTTGGCTTCAAATAAGACTGCTATTTAAAGAGAAGCTTAGGAAGGTACTGTGTCCTTATAATGCTAAGCATTCATTGGAAAATTGGAGTTTGCCTAGTCCTGCGAAGTTCTGTTCCAAAAGGGAAATAAGGCCACGTTAGAAATAGACTGGGGACAAAATTCTAGAGCAAAATTATAGAATAAGAGAATTCAGTGGCCACAATTCACCAAACATTTGAAGATATAACAGACTTTGAGGGCTTTCCTATTGGTTTAGAATGTCATTTTGTAAACTCACATTCATTCATTCATTTATTCACAAACCTCATTAAGATCCTAACTGATGCCACATATTATGTTACACATTGATGAGACAGATGGATATGACACTGTCAGAGCTCAGGCTGAAGATGTGCTATACATTAGTGAAGGAGGCTAGTCAGTGAAAGTGAGGAATACTATATGAGCAATCCTGTGACAGAGACAAGCACCTCGTGTTAGAAGGCACATAGGGAACTCTCTATGGTGCTAGGGATTCTTTACATTTTCACAAGAGTAGTGATTACACAGCCAAACTTGGAAAGACAAATAGTCATTGGACGAATAAAGCAGAGATCTGGATTCAAGTGAAGTGAAGATTGTTGCAGGAGCAGAGAACAGGTCGTTAGAGTGAAGCATATTTTGTGTTGCTAGAGCAGAGCCTGTGGTTGGAAATGTAGAAAGAATCCTGGAGAGAGAAGCAGGACCCAGATCTTGCAGAATCCTCACCACCCTGCCACCATGCCAGTGCTATATAACGGTACTTAACTTGGATATGGGATGGATTGGAGTGAGGAAGAGGGAATGGTTAGGAGATGTCACAGTTCAAGTACAAAGCAATTGATTAGGTAACAGTGTAAGGTAAATATTATTAATAGACTTAAGGGATGGTCAGGTGATGAGGAAGAGAAAGGAATCAACAGTGACTTCCAAGACTGTGCTTTCAGGGATCATGTCTATAGTTTGCCACTAGAGAAGTTTTTTTGAACATGTAGTAGGGCACCAGAAGCACAAGGAAGAGGCACAGCCTTCTCTCCTGAGCATGAATCTGGCTCTTGGTCTTGCTTTGTTCCAGCTACCATTTGCCATTGATTATGTCCTTCTCTTCCTTCCAGAAAGTAAAAGGGAGAGAATGCAGTCTGAGTGGTTTTTTTAATTAAAAAAAAAAAAAAGAAGGACTTCCAAGTTTCTAATTTGGACATCAGGTCAGCTCATGTGCCATTGCTTGAGCTAGGGAAAGTAAGAGGAGAAGAACATGTTGGGGGAAGATGTGGCTTCAGTTTTAGATGTGTTGTATTTATGATACCTGAGACCCATGCACATGAAAAGGTTCAGAATGTGTTTGGAAGTGTATATATAAAGCTCAGGAGAGAGCTAAAATAACATAAGGTTACATGGCCATCAGCGTATGATTATTGAAGCTGTGGGTGTAGATGAGATCAAAGAGAGAGGATAGAGATAAAGTGGCAGGCAGAACCTGAAAGAACAGCTAAAAGACTGTTTAGAAAAAGCAGACATTGAAGACACTGAGAAGATGTGGTCCTAGACATAGCGGGGTCACAAGAGACTGAGGATCTTAAAGGCAAAAATCCTTTAGTATCAAAATATTCACAGGTTGAAATGTTTCTGAGAGATCAAATAAGAGAGGGCCTAAAAAATATAAATTGGAAAAAGCCAAAAAAGTGGTTTTTGGGATTTTGGAGAGAGAACTTTTTACGGAGTAGGAGGGCAGAATTCTGAAGCCATTCTTTTTTAAGAGCAAATGGGAAATGTCGAAGAGGGAAATCAATTGTAGATAACTCTTTCAAGAAGTTGCAATTGGAGTGGAATGCAGGAAAAAAGAATTGGTTTCTTTGTTTTCAGTGGCTTTCTCATGTTTAAATGTTGTAGGACTAAGGATTTGGAGACGTTTACAATTTTAGACAGGGAAATCGATAATAATTGATATTTACAGGCCTTTATTTTTGCAGAAATAATTTTTCTAGCATTGGAAGTGTTTAGATAAACCTGTGAGTTCAACGTTTAAGAACACTTCGTATTGAATATTGTCTTTCCACTGGAAACATTAATTTTTCATGGACTGAAGCAATATAGTTTTTATCAAACATATCCCCTTTTCGTAAAAATATAAAAGAAAAGAAAAAGAAAAAGAAAAAAGAAGCATAGTTAATTATATGGAAGAACAGCACAAAACTAGAAACACTCTTTTCACTGATATTCCTCTGATAGCCATCTTCTGTTCACCAGGAGGGTTTCAAGATTTCATCAGCTGTTGTGTCAGTCAATATCCTGGCAAGAAATAGTTATTGATATCGCATAGGTTGAAAAAATATTAATAAGGGGATTGTTTATTAGAGAAATAGTATGCATAGCAAAGCCATAAGGGATAGTAAGAGTGGGGGGTTTTATCACCTGTAGACCAAAGAGTGTGAGAGGAGGTTCAGTTGCCTGAGCCTAGAGTGAGAAGGGAGTACTTGGTAAGAGGCATGACATTTAGTTAAGGCAAGCGGTTAGTCCATGCTGATCTCAAAGAGTCTCTTCGCTCTGTATTAATCTGCTGGTGGTGATACCCATTGACCAAATCCAATCGTACACCAGAAGACTAAAAGGCTTATTAATGTATCCTTATCATCCAGCCTTCCAGGGCCCAGATGGGGAGAGAAGGTGGAGAATAGATCAGGAGAAGTACATGGAAACTATCCATCAGTGACAGAACAACTGTGAAAAACAATGGGAAGAAGTGGGTAGCTTACCTCCTTTCCAGTAGCGGTGGATGTGTCCTGTGAAGTGCATGCCACTTCTGGTGGTTTAGAATGGTCCACATTCCTAAGACTTGTAGATCCAACCTTATCATCAATATTTTTACTATTGGCCTTTAAATATGAAAGCTATGATCCCAACATCCGATAGTGATTTTGAACAACAGTGTAAAGATTATTCCTCTGCATTTACCAGCTTCATTTCTTACAACAGTGTTCCTCAGTTTCTTTGACATTAAAAATCATGGTAATTAATCTGTTTCAGGGAGATATTGGAGGACTAAGTGAAATCAATATGGTAGAGTGCATAATACACACAATAAATTATTATCCTTTCCCCATTAAATTATCTTATAGTTTCATTGAAAATTATTTAAACTGCTAAGGTATTTTAATAAGAGTACTGGTTGAATTTAAATCAAGAATAAAATAAATACCCATCCTGCTGTATGTTAGGTGTGTGCGCCCTGAAGGGCTTGTAGCCTTCATTCTCATAGCCCAAGACCATAGTTTCTCTGCCATTAGAAATATTGACCTGCTGCATATAGATTTTATTTTAGTAGAAAATGGGTATACATCCATAGTCTTACATATTCTACGTTTGAATATATTTTCCATGCAGCAACGATAATCGATTAAGAAATTTTGCTTTCAGGAAGTAGCGCCAATGAACCATTCATGAATTGTTTAAAGTATCATCAACCTGAGTGAATGAGCTATGTGGCACAAAATGCCCTGTGTTACTTAGCCTATTTTGTTAAGAAAGAATACCAATTTCTAGGATGATAGATGAAATAACTATTTTTGTTTGTTTCTTTGTTTGTTTTTGAGACAGAGTCTCACTCTTTTGCCCAGGTTGGAGTACAGTGGCACAGTTGTAAATCACTGCAGCCTTGCCCTCCCAGGCTCAAGCAATCCCCCCACCTTAGTCTCCCAAGCAGCACAGGCATGCTCCACCATGTCTGGCTAATTTTTTAAAACAAAATTTGTAGAGGTAGGGTCTTGCTAGGTGGCTCAGGCTGGTTTCAAGCTTCTGGGCTCAAATGATCCTGCCGCCTTGGTCTCTCAAAGTTTTGGGCTTACAGGTGTGAGCCACTGTGCTCAGCCAAATAAATATTTTATAGATATTAAAATATAATGTCTGAAAGAGAATGTACCAAAAAATAGATATTATTCATGGAAACATTTTGAAACCTAAGTTTTCCATGAATTTTATGTGTGAATTTTTTGGCTTAATTTTGGAATTATTCTATGTTGTACTTATATTAATAAAGAAGGAAAAATATAAAGTAAATGGCTCAGATTATTTTCCTATATTCAGTACAATGTTATTTGCTTCATGGATGCCAATAAATATTAGATGCATTCATAATTTATTTGCTACCTACTCTTAAAAGAAAATTTATAAATATTAAATATAACATTAATGCTATTTAAAATGCAACAGAAACTAATATTTTTGTTTACAAATTTCATAAAGCCAAAGTCAGTTTTTAACTATCTAAACGGTTAACTTTCTAAGAAAAAAGTAAAGCTTTTTATATTGAAACCATTTATTTTCTGATTTTTTAATGTGTTTTAACTGTATTTGTGCCAAAGTTGTGAACTTATAACACTTATAAATTAGAGCTCTTTATTGAACAGTCAACTTGAAAATAAGTTACCAGTCACAGTAGAAATTGGATGAAGAAATATGGATAAATTCCTATCTCCAATAGAGGAAGGGTTCAAAATATATGTTTTCAAGAAGATGAGTAGTATCTGCCATATTTGTATAAAAATGTTAAGTTATATTGTTTAAAACCTTGAAACTATGATCTTATCTGATCTCTCAGCTTTTTGCAATGAAAAATAATGATAAAAATATGTATGCACACAAAAATTTGTGTATATATACACAAATATATATCATAGATACATATATAGACACATATTTTTGTGTGCATACAAAATAAAATAAATAAAACAGGCATACCTTGTTTTACTGTGTATTGCTTTATTGCGCTTCACGGATGTCACATTTTTTACAAATTGGAGGTCTTCATCCTTGCATCCTGCAAGTCTATCAGTGCCAATTTTCTTTTTTTTTTTTTTTTTGTCCGTCTTTGCAGGTAGCATAGTCTTTTTTTTTTTTTTTATACTTTAAGTTCTGGGGTGCACGTGCACAACGTGCAGGTTTGTTACATATGTATACATGCGCCATGCTGGTGTGCTGCACCCATTAACTCATCATTTACATTAGGTATATCTCCTAATGCTATCCCTCCCCCCTCCCCCCACCCTATGACAGGCCCCGGTGTGTGATGTTACCCTTCCTGTGTCCAAGTGTTCTCATTGTTCAATTCCCATCTATGAGTGAGAACACGCGGTGTTTGTTTTTTTTTCCTTGCGATAGTTTGCTGAGAATGATGATTTCCAGCTTCATCCATGTCCCTGCAAAGGACATGAACTCATCATTTTTTACGGCTGCATAGTGTTCCATGGTGTATATGTGTCACATTTTCTTAATCCAGTCTATCATTGTTGGACATTTGGGTTGGTTCCAAGTCTTTGCTATTGTGAATAGTGCCACAATAAACATACGTGTGCTTGTGTCTCTATAGCAGCATGATTTATAATCCTTTGGGTATATACACAGTAATGGGATGGCTGGGTCAAATGGTATTTCTTGTTCTAGATCCTTGAGGAATCACCACACTGTCTTCCACAATGGTTGAACTAGTTGACAGTCCCACCAACAGTGTAAAAGTGTTCCTATTTCTCCACATCCTCTCCAGCACCTGTTGTTTCCTGACTTTTTAATGATCGCCATTCTAACTGGTGTGAGATGGTATCTCATTGTGGTTTTGATTTGCATTTCTCTGATGGCCAGTGATGATGAGCATTTTTTCATGTGTCTGTTGGCTGCATAAATGCCTTCTTTTGAGAAGTGTCCATTCATATCCTTTGCCCACCTGTTGATGGGGTTGTTTTTTTTCTTGTAAATTTGTTTGAGTTCATTGTAGATTCTGGATATTAGCCCTTTGTCAGATGAGTAGATTGCAAAAATTTTCTCCCATTCTGTAGGTTGCCTGTTCACTCTGATGGTAATTTCTTTTGCTGTGCAGAAGCTCTTTAGTTTAATTAGATCTCATTTGTCAATTTTGGCTTTTGTTGTCATTGCTTTTGGTGTTTTAGACATGAAGTCCTTGCCCATGCCTATGTTCTGAATGGAATTGCCTAGGTTTTCTTCTAGGGTTTTTATGATTTTAGGTCTAACATTTACGTCTTTAGTCCATCTTGAATTAATTTTTGTATAAGGTGTAAGGAAGGGATCCAGTTTCAGCTTTCTCCATATGGCTAGCCAGTTTTCCCAGCACCATTTATTAAATAGGGACTCCTTTCCTCATTTCTTGTTTTTGTCAGGTTTGTCAAAGATCAGATGGTTGTAGATGTGTGGTATTATTTCTGAGGGCTCTGTTCTGTTCCATTGGTCTATATCTCTGTTTTGGTACCAGTACTATGCTGTTTTGGTTACTATAGCCTTGTAGTATAGTTTGAAGTCAGGTAGTGTGATGCCTCCGGCTTTGTTGTTTTGGCTTAGGATTGTCTTGGCAATGCGGGCCCTTTTTTGGTTTCATATTTTCTAACAGTATATGCTCACTTCGTGTCTGTATCCCATTTTAATGTTTCTCACAATATTTCAAACTTCTTCATGACTATCATGTCTGTTATGGTGATCTGTGATCAGTGATCTTTGATGTTACTACTGTAATTGTTCTGTGGTGCCATGAACCATGCCCATATAAGATGGTAAATTTAATTGATAAATGTTGTGTATGTTCTGACTGCTCCACCAACCAGCCATTCCCCTGTTTGTCTTTTCCTCTCCTTGGGTCTCCCCATTCCCTGAGGCTGAACAATATTGCAGTTTGGCCAACTACAATAGCTTCTACGTATTCAAGTGAAAGGAGGAAATGCAGATCTCTGACTTTAAATCAAAAGCTAGAAATGATTATTAATGAGTAAGTCATGTTGAACACCAAGATAGGCTGAAAGCTGGGCCTCTTGCTCCAAACAGCCAAGTTGTGAATGTGAAGGAAAAATTCTTGAAGGCAATTAAAACACTACTCCAGTGAATACACAAATGATAGGAAAGCAAAACAGCCTTATTGTGGATATGGAGAAAGTTTTGACATATGTCTGCTGAACCCTGGAACTCAGAGGAGCAGGGTTAGAAGACAAGAATAGATTGATACCACTATTATTTAGTGCTTTTGAAATCTATCCAGACTTTCTGTCAAAATGGTGCAATGGGTTCATTATTTGACACATTCCCTCTGCTCCAGCCTAATCTATGGCAAAGTTCTAACTATCTTTAATTCTGTGAAGTCTGAGAGAGGTGAGGAAGCTTTGGAAGAAAAGCTAGAAGATAGCAGAGGTTGGTTTATGAAGTTGAAGGAAAGAAACTATCACCATAACATGAAAGTACAGGATGAATCAGCAAATGCTGAGATGGAGAAGCTGTACCAAGTTATCTAGATCTAGCTAAAATCATTGATGAATGTGGCTGCACTGAACAACGGATTTTCAGTGTCAATGAAAGAGCCTTCTATTGGAAGAAGATGCCACATAGGACTTCCACAGCTAGAGAGGAGAAGTCAATGCCTGGCTTAACTAAAAACTAAATATTTTCTAGTTATTATTTTTTTAGGCATTAGGCTGTTGCACATTTAATTGACTAAGGTATAGTGCAGACATAACATTTATATGCACTGGGAAACAAAACAATTTTATGTGACTTGCATTAATGCAACATTAGCTTTATTATGGTTATCTGGAACTGAGCCTGCCATATTGCTGAGATATACCTGTGCATACTTCTTCATTTTTAATAAACATTATCTTTAAGATTTTGCTTTAAGAGTTTATCTTATAAGAGTTTGAAGATTATTATTTCCTAGTTTACTTGGTTTGCAATGTAATTTATCTTGTCTATGTATATCCTAAAATGATTTAAACATTTGGGAAAGCTGAAGATCAGTCTTCTCCTGAAACCCTAGACAATTTCTACCATTTGATTACAGATTTATTTATTTTTTTATTATTATTTTTTTTTTTTTACAGAATCTTGCTCCATTCCCTGGCTGGAGTGCAGTGGCACGATCTTGGCTCACTGTAACCTCCACCTCCCAGGTTCAAGTGATTCTCCTTCCTCAGTCTCCCAAGTAGCTGGCACTACAGGCATGAGCCACCAATCCTGGCTATTTTTATTTTATTATTATTATTATGTTAGTAGGGAAGGGAGTTCACCATGTTGGCCAGGCTGGTCTCAAACTCCTGACCTCATGTGATCTGCCCACCTCGGCATTCCAAAGTGCTGGGATTACAGGCGTGAGCCACTGCGCCTGGACCAGCTTTGTTTTTCTTTCTTTTTTTTTTTTTTTTTTGGTTTATCTGTGCTACTTCCTTATCCAACCTCCCTAGTCAAAAGCGACCTGCTGTACTCACTGAACCAATAGAAAACTTATTGATTTTCCATCTGTAGACTTTATTCCTACTTTACTATATGGCTTTTCTCTAGAAATATTAAAATTTTAAATATATTTCAATATTCTGGTCTTGACCTTCAGCCTTTATAGATCTCCGTATGCTAAAGGAATTCTCGTTTTTATAAATGCTTATCTACAACAATGCTTTGCCTACTAAGTTTGACCTTATGGAATTTCTTTTGTTATTATTTTCAGCTGTTTATCACTCCTGTATTGTTGTTCTCTTGTCATCACCATGTATGATTCTGGTCATTCATTTTTAAATTTCTCCCCTGAACTCTACATTCTCAGTTCTAAGACACTGTGTTACATGTGGTGGAAGCTCAATATTTTTTTTGTGAATTGATATTCTAGCACCTTAGGAAGAATTGCTCAATAAAGAGTACTGCCTAAATTTTTCAGAGTCAGCGTTTTCAGTCAATGGAGATACATATTCTTAAAAACACTATTTTTTTTACGTCCAACTTTAAAATATATTTTAATGGGCCATTTTCAGAGTTAATTGTGTCAATTACCTATGATAAGTAAAATAAATTATTTGTTCTAACTCATAATTATACTTGAAGAAAAAAATAATTTATGAAAGAACTGGCAATATCTGTATAAGAACCATACATGGGGACATTTATTCTTGGGTCATTTAAATAATTTACTTTGAAAAGGTTGTAACTTCATTGTCTTTATTCATGTGCAAGGAATTTTTCAGACTAATCCTCTTTAAACTTTTAGTAGCAGGTTTGGAGTAAAATGTTCAATGAGAAGTTGTATATGATACCGTTAAGTAAATCAGAGGAAAACAAAGCTGTTCTTGTTGAACCTGGGTTAAGTGCAAGACAGTTCTGACTATCTACTGCTGCCTTTGACATATTTCTGCTGAACCCTGGTACTCAGAGGAGCAGGGTTAGAAAACAAGTATAGATCAATACCATTATTATTTAGTGCTTTTGAAATCTATCCAGACTTTCTGACAAAATGGTGCAGTAGGTTCATGCTTTGACACATTCCCTCTGCTCCACACACATCACAGTGCTAGACAGTAGAGTTATCCCATTAAACACTCTGAGAAACAAGATGAACATCACCACTGGCACAGACCAGAACCAGAGGAGAACCAGAAAAGGGATCAGGCCTGCAACCCCGGCTTCTTGGCTTCCAGGTCCTGAAGCAAGCAGGATAACAGAGGAACCATATTTCACACTGGGTGGCAGCCTGAAATGAGAAGTTCCCATTTAACTCTAACACATAAAACCAATGCCAACCATAGCCTCTTCTTTCTAGGAAGTTGTAATCCTAAAGAAAGGAAGAACATAATACAATTTTAGGATAATTATTTTAGGAAAACTGAGCTTCCTAATAGACAAATCAGATATAATTAAATTAATCACGTTGTATACAGAAAGGTAAAGTGCTTTGCAAGACTAGGTAGCCATTGAACAGGCATCAGTGCTCTTGATGGACATCAATAAGGACACTTTTCGAAACAACCAAAGTCTTATGAGTATTAGCATCTCTATGCTATTGAAATGTTTGCCTATTGAAGTCAGATCAGTGTCTGCTTGCATTTCATGCAATGCATTTGATGATATGTGTAATACTACATAATGCATGTATTAGTCAGCACAGGCTGCCGTAAGAAAATAACACCCACTGGATAGCTAAAACAACAGGAATTTATTTTCTCCCACTTCTGGAGGCTAAAAGTCCAAGATCAACGTGTAGGCAGGTTTGGTGTCTCCTAAGGCCTCTCTCCTTGGCTTACAGATGGCTGCCTTCTTGCTGTGTCTTCACGTAGCCTTTCCTGTATGTCATTGCATCCCTGATGTCTCTCTCTTCTTATAACCTTTGTTACCTTCTTAAAGCTCCTATCTGTAAATACAGTCCTGTTGCGGGTTAGGGTTTCAAGATATGAATGTTGAGGTGAGGACACAATTCAGTCCCTAAGAATGCACATCTGCGAAGTGATTTTTCAGGCAAATGTGGTTTTTCTTTCAGACATTTTTAAGTTAATCCATTTGAAATATTCTTCAAAAAGAACTGTGTTCTAAAATATCAGACTAGAAAAAATCAAGAGTAATATAATAAACTGTTTTATGTTATTTTGTTGTGAGAATTCATTGGGACAAAAAAAAATCATGCTGGCATCCCTGATCATTATTCTTTTTTTTTTGCAGCCAACAAAAGCTGTTCTAATGGAGCTCTGGTGTGTGCCTCCTCCAACAGCTGTATCCCAGCCCACCAGCGCTGTGATGGTTTTGCCGACTGCATGGATTTCCAGCTTGATGAGTCCAGCTGCTCCGGTACCCCATTTCCATTCAGATATTCTTGTGATATGAACCAGCAACTTAACCTGCAACACAATGAAAATATTAAAACTTGAGGTTCTAAACAATGGCAAGCATGGAATAATTGAATTTCTATTCTTGGTTTGGGGGCAGAAAGAATGTTGACATTAATTGCCACATGTCTAAAGTATTATAAACATATAATGGGCTCATGCTAGTTCTACACAATGTTTGATAAGAAAAGAAAAATCAAATATGTAATTTTAACACAATGTAATTTAAGATTATTAGCATTTAATAATCTCTCCTCTGAAAATTGCTTGGTTTCTATAATAAGGAAACCCTATACAATCTAGTACTATTATTTTATTTTTAAATTGTGGTCTTCCTTTGTCCACTTCTTTATAAGAGTTTTCTATTTGCATAATCTAGTTACATATTTAATAGCAAATCTATTAAACCTTAGCTTGACTTCTAAACATTTTTCTTTCTTCTGACCTTGGAACATGTATACAGCATAGGAACTGACAGTATATATCTGTCATTATACTTTTATCAAAACTGCTTTAAAATTTTCTAATTTATTGTAGCCCTTTGTTAACATCTCTCCTGAGTAGATGATTTTTTTTATTTCACATGGATGATATATAAAATAACAGATCATTAAAGGTAATATAATTTTGTCCTAACTAAAGGATAATATAAATTAATGATAGAGATATATTCAGTGAAATTTCCTAAATAAGTTGGAAATATTTTATATCAAAACTAGTTAAGAAAATACTCTGTATCTTTCAAGAGAGGAAAATATTATGAGATATATGTTGTAAGAATGATAATTGTAATCAAATCACATTGTGAAAAAGTCTTATTTTTTTATACTGCTAGAAGTGAGTACTCACAGACCACTGCATTTTATGAGTACAAAAGCAAATGAAAAAGTGACCAGATCTGGCCCCATAAAATGTGCAAAGATGGATACTCTGTCACTTTCTCTGCACTCAGAATGCATGTACTTCAGATGAGATACCAGTATTATTTTCTTTCCAGAGAGTAGGAAAGCCGTTACTGAGTAGCTCTATTCTTTGACACTATTAAGACAGTATTTATGCCAGACCCAAACTTATTTACATAAAGACAAGATTATCTTCAGCATGGTCCTATAGGAGCACAAATATAATATGTTATAATCTGTTATCTTCTTTGATATAATCTACTTTTAAAAATAGGATCAGAAAAACAGAAGACTTGTCATTCATACCCAGCCATAGACAATCTGTAGGTAGTGCTATAGAACACATTTTTGTTGTCTGTCTCTTTTCATCACTCACCAGTCATGTTTACAGTTCACTTAGAAAGTGTAGGTCATGTTGACACAGATATTGGGTTAGAGTAAAATAAAGAACTGGTGAAATACAGTTTTCAGAAATAAAATCCCTATTATATTATGTTTTATCTATTTACATGTTGTATGCTTTTTGGCTTGTCAATCAAATATATTAAAGCCAAGCTTCTGTTTTTAAGATATCTTTAAGCCTGACCCACACTAAAGATTTGTCAATGTACATTACACATTACTCTTTCTTTCCAACATTATATTCTTTTAAGGTCAGCATTTAATAGGCTTTTGTAAACCCAATCCTTACAGCATCCAGTAATTCCCATAGTGGTCTCACCATGGTCACTATCTGGCCTCACCTACCTTGAGGTTTAAGTCATAAACAAGAACATTAATCTCCGGCACTGTATAGATGTTGCAGGCTACATATATTTCAATGAATCCTGTTCATGCCTAACTTATATTATGCAAGTATATTATTTTCAAGTTTTTGTTGCTTTGCAACCAGAAATTATTGGCCAGCATTTGTCTGGCTAAATCTAAACTGAAAGTGTTTTTCTAGTCATTTGCAGTAGTAGAGGTTAATAAAGCTTATGCTAAGGTGAAACTATAATTATGATAATCATTCATTTGAAGGAGAATTAGGAAAGGTCACTAAAAATGTAAAATTGTAGGATGGGACATTATAAATATAATACTATACATAATAAATATTGATAATGGTGGTGATTATGATGATGATGATGATACAGCTTAATAAAGTCTCAGAAGTATTTAAAAAACAAACCAAAACAAACACAAACACTTCTCAGGCAAGTACTATGGAGCTACTTCAAGTTTGTTTATTATTATTATTTTTATTTGTTAATTAACACATCATAATTATACGTATTTATGAGGTACAATTTGACATTTCAGTGCATACAGTTTGTATAATAATCAAATCAGGGTAGTTAGCTTATCCATCACCTCATGCATTAATTATTTCTTTGTGGTACGAACGTTGAAGAGCCTCTCTCCTAGCAGTTTTGTAATATACAATATCTTAATATTCACCCATTACCCTACTGTGCAGTAGAACACCAAAACTTATTCCTTCTATCTAATAGTAACTTTGTACCCATTGGCCAACCTCTGCCTGTCCTTTTTCTCCTCTCTCCAGTCACTGGTAAGCACTGTTCTGTTCTCTGCTTCTATGATATCAACTTTTGAGGTTTGATAGATTTTCCTGCAGTCCCTGTGCCAGGATTTCAAGATAAAGAGAATAATCTCTTCCCTCTGAGACTTGGTTTGTTGCACAAAATCTTCGGGTGGACTCCTAGGTGTATATATCTCTTCAAACTATGTGCAGATAATTGTGTATATGCATACTTATCTGGGACAGTACATAAATGCCACATGATTCAAAGGGGTTTGTATGCCCACAGCATCAAAAACTGCAAGCAGTTGTAGAAATTCTGAGATGAATAGCTAATCATTTGACATTTTTACTCTAACAGGCTTTGGAGTCAGAAGACAAGGGTTTAGTTCTAGTTCAGATGCTTCTTTGCTATTAACTCAAGTAAGTTATATGAAAGGCCTCACTTTCCTCCTCTGCAAAATGAGGATAATTATGGTATATAAGACACAATGTTATGAAGGACTAAGTGAGATAACACATGTAAAACTCTTAGGCCAGTCCCTGACACATAGCAGGCCTTACGTAAATGGTAGTGGTGATGGTGATGGTAATTATAACCACAAAGGAAGAAAAGGAAGAGAAGAAGGAGAAGATGGAGAGAACAAGATCGAGGAAACTAGGTTTCATAGGCAATGCAAATACTCCCCCCAGTATAGAAAGATGATTGAGAACAATTATTTAATACCTTATACACACCATTCACTAGTATAAAAATTCTAACAAATTTAATTTCACCTTCCTAGCAGTCCTATAAGAAAGTGCTATCATACATATTTCTACATGAAGAATCTTATACTTAGAGTACCTAGCTCAAAGTCCCATAAGTCTTAAATGACTGAGCCAGGTATCATCAGGGAACACCAGGACTTAGGTGGTTATCAATCTTCCCAGCAAACTAGTATATAGCACCTGTCACTTCCCTAGTCTCTGCGTACATTAAGGGGGAAAAATGAAGGCTTACTTGCAAATTATTTCTATTTACGTTTAAAAGTTACTATTGTTTTTATATGCATGTTCCTGCTTTTCCAATGAGATGTATCAGAATGGGATTCAATGTGAAATACTCAGAATGATATTTCTGTGTAATCAGTTGTGAATTGTATTGGCCTCCATACACATATTCATAATAACCAACACAAAGGGGTACAAACCAGAGAGACATTGCTGTGGCTAAAGATTGGGAACCTCTGCTAATGGTAATATTATCCCATAGATTCCCAGTTCCCATATTGGGAATTATATCTACTTATCTCCTGGAAATACTCAGCCTCTTCATGGCTAATTAGCCATATCCGTCTCCTTCCCCATTTCATTTGCTCTCTCCTTAAAATTGTTTTGAGTAAATCAAAGCTGAAAATACTTTGTGCCGTGTCTTTCTGTATTATGGATAAAGAACCTGGGTCTAAAGTAGAAACTTATAAAATCTTATCACAGAGATGAACTGTGAGTTTTCTGCCCTGCTAAACAACAGGATTCACCTCTGGTTCCAGTGAACATCTGTGTTCTTTGCACTGTGCTCCACTATAGAGCATAAAAATGCATATTTAGATTCACACAGAATTATTCTGATGTAAAGCAAGCTTATGTTTCATTTTCTGTAGTAAATTTAAATATGAATGACCCACCCAAAAATGGTCAGCACTCCTGTACTGTTTGTTTTCTGATACTCTGCAGTCTCAGACACTCTTCTCATGTTTCAATAAAACAAAATACATATTTGAGGAAGACTGAAATTGTACCTAAGATCAAAAATAACCATAAAACAGCTTATCTAACAAGGTTTATACCAATATGTGCTTTATCATCTTGGTGGCTATTCTTCAGTCAAACCAGCAAATTCCTTATTTGTAAAGGAGAGCTTATGTTTGTTCTGTTCAGAGGAGCATGCCCCCCAGTCCTGAGGTATGGAGCTCCTTACTCTCATCTTTGGCACCTTACTCCCCTGTTTTATGTAATTAGTTAAATAAGGAGGACTAAGGGAGGGCAAGATGGGAAATACATCCCCGGGAAAACAAATTGCTGATTTTTTTGAAACCAAAAATGATGCCAGACTCAAGGTATATTTCAGTTTTGATCCTATACTGCAACTTCCCTCCTTCCTTGCTTTCCTCTTTCTTAATGCCTGCTATCCCTTCTCTAGTGTGCAATGACTGCCTTTATTAGCCCATTCTCACACTGCTATAAAGACATACCTGAGACTGGGTAGTTTATTTAAAAAAAAAATAGGTTTCATTGGCTCATGGTTCTGCAGGTTAGACAGGATTCTGCTTCTAAGCTGGCTTCAGGAAACTTACAATCATGATGGAAGACCAAGCAAGCACATATTCACTTGGCCGGCAGGAGAGAGAGAGAGAACGGGAAGTGCTAAACACTTTCAAAAAACCAGATCTCATGAGAACTCTATTATGAGACAGCACTAGGGGGATGGTGGTGACCTATTAGAAACCACTCCCATGATCCAGTCACCTCCCACTAGGCCCCACCTCTAACACTGGGGATCACAGTTTGACATAAGATTTGGATAGGGACACAGAACCAAACCTTATCACTGCTTAACAGGCTACTCTCTCATGCCACCCTTTCCTTGTATGTTTTACTTCAATACGTATTGCTTACATAAAATTTCTAGTTCTCTATTTTCTCACTATCCTTCATGATTATCATCATTTATCTGTTCTAGTAAATGTTTTCCCTGTCTCTGCTAAGATTGGGCTTATCAAAGACAAGGAGCATATCTATGTACCAGAAGCAATGATGTCAAAATGACTTGAGGAAAAACCCTGAACAGTGGTGCTATCTAAAAGGCAGAGAAAAAAATCTGAAGAAAGACCACAAATCTTTATCTCTACTTCATATTAAATATTTCATCTGAGGTTCAGACCTGCAAATTCCAGTGCCCACAGGTCGGGTCACTTCTACTTCGATGCCCCTTATGCACTTAAAATATAACATTATCTTTTCCTTTAAAAATCTTAATTCTCCATAAATCCCCCTCAGTGAAAGAAACCACCAACTAGCCAATGACCCAGCCAGAAGTGTGGCCATTATCCTCGACTCTTGCAAATAGTCACCAAGATGTTTCAATCCTAATATTTAAATATCTCTTAAAAATTCAACAACTTTCTACCCCCAACCCCACCCTAATCCTTTAGTTCAGGCAACCATTATATTTTTGCTAGTTTATTACCAACAAAAACCTCTTTAACGGGGCTCCCAAATTTTAGTCTTGGTCTTTCTGTTGACTTGACACACTGCAGCCAGAATTCTAACACATGAAACATGACACTTTCCTTTTTAAAATCTTGGCCCTGCTGGGCCGATGTAACCCAGAAGCTGTGTGTCTCTGAATTTTTTCTGCACTATCTTTGTATTATGAGCAATTCAACCAGTCTGGGCTGTCTTCAGTTCCTCAAACATGCAACACCCTCTTCTCTGGCCTCTGGATCTTTATGTTCACCTTTACACACACACTACCACTACTGCCCAAATAAATGGCTGCTGATTCTCTCTGGAAAGCTTTTTCTTACTCCCCAAACGTGACCGAAGTGCTCTTCTTGGTGTTCCCATCACCCTTAGAACATCCATCCCAATAGAGTAATTTCATTCTGCATTTTAATGCCACACTCACATTTTTTTTTCATCTGGAAGGACAGTAGGAGCAGGAACCATGGCTGTATATCTTTTAAAGTCAACATTTATTAAACTCATACTATGAACTGGTTGTTCTTCTAACAGTCTCACAACCCTATGAGATACTTATTGTTTGTTAACCTTGTTTACAGAAAGCAAACAGAGGCACAGAGAGATTAACTACCTTACCCAATACTACTCAGCTAATAAATTGAGCTGAGAAGAGCAACTGGGCTCCTGTGCCCTCAGTGTGAACAACTATACTAAGATGTCTATGTTATCATTATATTTCCAGTGCCCAGCCCAGTGGCAGACATTTTATAGGGACTCAGAATAAATTTGTTCGATTAAAATTAAAGACAGAGGAAATTTTAATCAAGTGTTAGAGTTAAAGTAACCCAACAAGGGAGCAGTGGTATCCTGCAAGAAAGGTGTTGAATTATACCCCATAAATATGTACAATTGCAGTGTGTTAAGTAAAAACAAAAGGCCTAGGAGCAACTTGGGTCTTAACTGAATAGGGGAATTGACAGGCCTTAGTAGGTCAAGATGTCTCATGAGGAAATAAGGAGGCAGTTCATATGAACACAACATCAGGAGCTAACTGTGCTAACCACTCTCACGGTAGTTACTCTATGAAGATATTTAGCTTCTTTTTAACCTATAAGTAAACCACCTTTGAAAATAAATGCTCTTGTTAAACTGGAACTAGAGAGTGACACAAGCAGTGAAATAGGAGGACCAGGGACGAACTTGAGTTATACTGACATTGATCGTGGATGCAGAGGTAGGACATCTGCATGCTCATAAGTGAGTGACTTATCAAAAAAGGCTTTTGCCTGCCATGACATGAGGACTGTTGTGTAGAACTAGAGAAATATTTCAGTAAACAAAGCACTTTATTGTTATCACAAATATGTCATGCAGACACATTCTAAATAAGTAGATGATACCCAATCCAGGGGAGAAGTTCTAGTGTTCTAAAGCACTGTGAGATGACTATAGTTAACAATAATATATCGTACAGTTTCAAATAGTTCCAAGGAGGATATTGAATGTTCTCAACACAAAGAAATGATAAATTTTTGAGATGATGGATATGCTAATTTCCCTGATCTGGTCACTATACACTATCTATATACATATAACTTTGTACTCCATAAATATGAAAAATTATTATATGTCAATTAATAAAAAGAGGTCTGATGCGATGGTTCACACCTGTAATCCTAGCATTTTGGGAGGTCAAGGTGGGAGGATTGCTTGAGGCTAAGAGTTTAAGACCAGACTGGACAACAATGGCAAGATCCCATCTTTACAATAATCTAAAAATTAGGCAAGTGTAGTAGTGTGCCCCTGTGGCCCCAGCTATTCAAGGCTGAGGTGGGAGGATTGCTTGAGCCCAGGAGGTTGAGGCTGCAGTGAGCTGTGTTTATGCCACTCTATTCCAAGCCTGAATGACAGAGCAAGACCCTGCCTCAAAAAAAAAAAAAAAAAAAGAGGAAGAGAGAAAGAAAAAATAGCAAAAAATAAATAAAAATTAAAAAATTAAACAAGTAAATAATTTTTTAAAAAGTCTTCTGTTTTTGCGGATTATTCAAGCATGCGAAGGGCATGAACACATTCAGGGCAGCAGGGGCCAGAGAACAAATTTGAAGAGAGTACAGGAAAGTAGCCTATGGGAATTCTTTTGCTTTTTGCAACTGGAAAGGAATTTACTCTTAGAGATTAGATTTAATGTAATGACAAATAGTGATATCTTCTTCTTCCTCCTAATACTATTTATAATTAACTGGTGTCTTTGTGATGCTTCTTTTTAGAATGTCCATTAAATTACTGCAGAAATGGTGGGACTTGTGTAGTGGAGAAAAATGGTCCTATGTGTCGGTAAGAAGCATTGTTTAATTTTTTTTTTTAAGATTTTTTGGAGTTGGCTTACTTATTTTTCTATAGGCTGATATAATAGAGCATCAATCAGTTTGTGGTTAGTAAGGTAAAAATAGTGGATAATGGTACTATTTACATTTATCTGTCTGAATAAGGTAAAGGAATATGTGAGTGCATTTTAGAGAAATATCTCTTTATTATGATTGTGCATGTTTTTCAACATTTTATATGTGTAATATATAATTTTAATAATACTCACTATTCCTTGCATTTATTATTTCTATCAGGTTTTTAAAAGATATTTTTCTGATATGAATATCTTTCTATTTCAGATAAACTTTGTGTCTGTATTTTCTCTTTTCATTTCAATGTTCTTATTTCTCTTTAACAAAGGATGAAATTAATTTATAAATAAAATCATTTGCTGGTTTATGCAGTGGGTATTTATAAGTAAAGTTAAGGTTTAGATAAGAAATACATTTGCATACTCAAAGCAAGAGTAAACAAAAATAGGCGTTGTGATTTCTTTGGGGAAATATTTATATTGCATATCAAAGATGGCTTGATTTCTTCTCTCACCCTTTGGGGAATTGTGCAAAACAGTTTCAAAAACTCCAAAGGAAATGATGCATATTTCATTATAATTGTGTTTATGCCTTTATAATTTAGCAGACCAATGGATATATCACTTTCCTTATTAGAAAACTCATTGAAGGTTGCTATTCAAGTCATTACAAAACACACAAAGGTATCTGAAAAACAATGATTAATAGTTGTTTGAGTCGTTATTCCTGTCTTAATCAACACACATAGTTTAGAAAAAGTAATTTATTCCTAAAAAAATTCTACCAATTAAAACAATAACAAAAATTTTATGATGGACCATATTTAGACACTGCTTTAGTTTAACATTGTTGAAATGTAATTACTAATGAGTTTCTTGGAACTCTTTTCTCTTTCAATACTTTACATAATTTATTTCTCAACATGTCAACAAAATTATACTTTCCCCATATCAGTTTCCGTGGAAATTAATTTATCAGAAACTATTACTTGATGGAAAGACAGGATACATAATATTAATTTCTAAAATCTCCTGAAAGAAGTTTGAATGATGCCAAAAAGTTTATTAAATATCAGCTGAGTAGATAATATTATTTAATGTCAACTGCTTACAGTAAAGAGGTTGATTTTTGTCCGCTTTAATCCTGACAGTTAAGCCAGAAAACTCCCAGAAAGAGCAAGAAAAGAGCTTTACATTCTTGGCAACACTCTCGTAGTCTTAAATAAACTTGAAAAATTAAAATCCAGATGGTGAAGTCTTAAACTTCTCTCAAATGGGAGAACTCTAAGGTGAGGGAGATGAGACAGAGAATTGAGAGAAGAAAGGAAGTCAATGGAGAAAAATGTAGAAAGGAATTCACTGCTAAGAAAGTCAATCAAATATCCTAAAGTATTATTTTTGATAGCAAATAATACTTTACAAATAGTGAAATAACTATAATGAACATCAATGCAAACAAATGTTGGAATTAGTGCTGTCTAGAATGTAGGTATGAAAAAATAACTTTTGAAACTTTGTCCATATTGTAATAGCTTAGCCATTTCATTCAAGTTTTTCTTTCTTTAAAATTACGTACTAAAAAAGTAATATATGTGGGTTGTCATGAGTCTTTTTAAAATATACAGTAGTATATCAGGCAAAAAGTAGAACTCTTGACACTCAAATCCTACACTGTAGTAGTAAGGTTTGTATCCCTTTAGATATATTTTTCTTTACACAAGCACACATACACACACAATTTTAAATTCCTAGATCCCTTATATATTCTTTTAACATTTATTTTAGGTTCAGGGTTTATTTTAGGTTCAAAATCTCCCATGACAAGTTTACTTATGTAACAAACCTACACATGTAGTTTTATTTATCCAAAATTTATTGAGTTAAATATTTATTAAGTAAGCTCATCATGGGGGATTTTGTACAGATTATTCCATCACCCAGGTACTAAGCCTAGTACTCATTTTTTATTTTGCCTGATCCTCTCTTTTCTTCCACCCTCCATGCTTCAGTAGTCCCCAGTGTCTGTTGTTTCCCTTTGTGCATCCATGTGTTCTCATCATTTAGCTCACACTTATAAGTGAGAACATGTGGTGTTTGGTTTTCTGTTCCTGCGTTAGTTTGCTAAAGATAATGGCCTCTGGCTCCATCCATGTTCCTGCAAAGGACATGAATCTAATTCTTTTTTTTAAGGCTGCATAGTATTCCATGGTATATATGTACCACATTTCCTTTATCCAGTCTACCATCGATGGGTGTTTAGATTGATTCTACGTCATTGCTATTGTGAATAGTGCTGCAGTGAACATACGTATGGAGGTGCCTTTATGACAGTAAAACTTATATTCCTTTGGGTATATACCCAGTAATGGGATTGCTGGGTCCAATGGTAGTTCTGTTTTTAGCTCTTTGAGGAATCACCGCACTGCTTTGACAATGGTTGAAGTAATTTACACTTTCACCAACAGTATATAAGTGTTCCTTTTTCTCCACAACCTTGCTAGCATCTGATATTTTTTGACTTTTCAATAATAGCCATTTTGACTGGTGTGAGATGGTATGTCACTATGGTTTTGACTTCCATTCCTCTAATGATCAGTGATGTTGGGCTTTTTTTCATATGCTTATTGGCAGCATGTGTGTCTTCTTTCAAAAAATGTCTTTTCATGTCTTTTGCTCACTTTTCAATGGGGTTGTTTGTTTTCTTCTTGTAAATTTGAAACCCCTTGTATTAAAAAGGCACTTTAACCTGTAATTTACAATAAAGTGATAATCTTTACTTTTCACCTTTTCGTCTTGGCAGTGTTTACAGTGGATTGCTCTTTCTCATTACCTGATTTCTGGGATATCACTGCCCATGCCTGTCACTCTCCTTCACCCATTCTTTTTCTTTCCTGTTGTCTAAATATTGGGACGTTAGACGATGCTTGCAGTTTCTCTTCTGTTTGTCTACACTCGCTCACTCTCTAATCTTGCCTAGCCTTGGACCTGTGAATAAAATCTGTAGACTTCGAATACAGCTTACCAGCAGACCAGACTCCGCATTCTTAGATTTAACCACTGACACGACGCCAGATCTCATTCAGATTTTATTTGGTTATCTCCTAGCCATCACGAATTTCACGTGTTCTAAAAGACCAGTTTTCTGGACAGCTCATGTTCTTCTATTTCTCCAAGCTTTGGATAAACTGATCCTTCTGTCTAGAACTTTCTGTTTGTTAACCTATTTGCCCAGAGGATGCCTTTTCATCCTTTAGATCCAACATAGGTGATGTTTTTTTCTGGGAAGCCGATTCCAGCCCAGCCAGGGAGGGTCGCTTTTTCCTCCTTCTGGCTCCTCTCCTCTTTTGCTTCCCTTTCCACAATATTTTGTAAGTGTTAGTTTTACAAAACGACCTGTTGAAAATCAGCCCTAGCTATCTAAAAAATGCATTTCCAGTAAAATTCTGTTATTTATGATGATCAGAATTTGTTTTGCCCAACTTTTTACTAGTTTTTATTTTTAAGGATACCTCCAACAATTATGGTCATTGAAAAAACATAAAATATGCTGACTTCTTACAAATTACACATGATATAAATTAATGAAACAGGAATGAAAAATGTTTAAAACTAACACAAAAGAGGAAAGAAAGGAATAAATAATAGCACAACAGATCAGTTGCTTTTCTGAAAGAAACATCTATTGTAAAGTGTAACATTATATACTGACATCATTGCATTGCAAGTTTTTCTAGCTATTAATTCTTATTTATCTTTTGCAAGAATTTATATTTCTGATCTGATAATTTGTTCAAGATATCAAAACTAAATTACTATCTGACAAATGTGACAACTTAAAAATGTCATGGTTAATAAAAAGCATTTCATCGAAATAAAGGCCAGGTTCAGTGGCTCACCCTCACCCTCATAGTCTCAGTACTTTGGGAGACTGAGGCAGGAGGATTGATTGAGCCTGGGAGGTAGAGGCTGCAATGAGTCGTGATCGTGCCAGACTGAGTGACAGAGTAAGTTCCTGTCTCAATAATAATAATAAATAATAATAATAATATATTGTTTATATTTTGTGGCAGAAAAAGATTAATAATATAATCAAAGACCTTAAAGTATGAAATAGATTAGGATAAAATATGTCAAGAAGAGAAATCAAAGTGTTAGTTTAAGGAGGAGAGGTACATTTAAAATTTTTTTTACTTATTTATTAACTTTTATTTTAGGCTCACAGGTACATGTGTAGGTTTGTTGTCTCAGAGGTGTGGTGTACAGATTATTTCATCACCCAGATAATAAGCATAGTACCCAATAGGTAGTAGTTTTATCCTCACCGTCCTCCCACCCTCCACTCTCAAGTAGGCCTCAGTGTTTGTTGTTCCCTTCTTTGTGTCCAAGTATATTTGATGTTTAGCTCCCAATTCAAACGTCTAACCGTTAAAAACTTTTAGGTATTTTGTATTGAAAGATGACGCATATTCAGTCACCATTGTAATTACATTTTCGATGTCTACATTTAAGAGAGTGATGTCAGTTTCATTTACAGTAACCTGGAAATTGTATCTTTTGCAATTGATTAATGTTAACCTGAAAAACATTAATTTTGACTTAAAATTAAAGGGACTATGAAATTTTTCAAAAACTCCTTTGGAGAGTTCATGGGCAAAAATTTTGAAGACCGTGGGCCAAGAAAATAAAGATCATGTCTTCAATACATTTTCATGACCCATCCCTAATGTATAACTGAGATTGCAAGAGTTATTTCAATATGTGCTCACAAAATAAATGATGAGTGAATGTAAAGTCCTGAAATTTCAAAGAAAAGCATCAATACATTGAAATATATTCTTGAAATGTATTGAAATATGAGAAAATGACCTCACCATAACCCAAACTACCATTCAAAAAAGAATTAGTGGGGGATTTTCTATGTGTGCAACAAGAACTATTGAGTAAGCATATGATGTGTTCATCATACTAAAAAGAAATTTCTCTCCAGTTTATAGGATAGAGCAACTACCAAAAAAAAAAAAAGTCATCTATTAAAGTAATTCCATTTTACTACAATGACAGAAGAGGGTGCTCTTAAATTAGAAATCTTGTAAACTATCTCAAATTTCATCAAATGAAGAGACAAATGAAATTTTCATTCATACAAGGCCTTTGTTAAAAATAAAATTCAGTTAGAACACTTCCCCTCCCCACCCAAAAAACAACAAAGAAACATGGTGTAAAAAATAAAATACATCAAGACCTTGAACTCCAATTCCAAGTTAAATTAAATATTATTTATAAAACATATAATTGGGGATATTTGAAAACAAATACATGCAACACTTTAATTTAAAATTTTAAAGTCTAAGTGTAAAAATATGTAAAAAAAAAAAAAAAAAAGTAAGAATCAATTGAACCCAAGGAAATGAATTGGCTGGATTAACTGAATTGGTTGAACCCAGGAAAAAATGAAATTGAAAAAGTAAAGATTAAATTATCATTTTCAAAGGATGATATATTCAAATGTAAATGTATTCAGAAATTTTTAACAAAGGTGCAAAAGTAAGGAAATGGAAATGAGATAAAATAAGGAGAATCAAAGAGAAAGTAGTTCAAGTGGAAGAAAAAGAACATGCATATGATTGGAGTCCCTAAAGAGGAAAATGAAATAGTAGAACAGAACTAACATTTAAACTATAATTCAAGTAAACTTTTTTCAAAAAATGAAAAGAGACCTGAATTTACATACTGAAAAAGTCAGCAAGTACCTGAAATTTTTAACACAAAACCAAAAACTCTAATGTATATCGTGGTAAAAATATTAAACTTTAAGAAACGGAAAAAAATTTTTCATGGCCTCTAGGAAAAGAACCAAATAACACAAGAGGACAAAGAATTTGGTTGGCATTAGACTTCTGAAAACAAAGAAACAAAGAAAACTCGTGATTGTCTCCAGAGTTGTGAAAAAGTCTTTGAAAAAATTTAACATCTATTCTTTATATTTTAAAAAGAGGCACTATGGAAAATGTAAATTGATGGATTTTTTTAAGTATGGTAAAGTCTATATTCCCTATTCCTAAATTTAGCACCTTCCTTAAGAGAAAACCATAAAAAGCACTTCCATTAAAATTAGAAACAAAGCAAGTATAACCACTAGTTTCACTGATATTTCATATTGTACTGGAGGTAGTCACCAATAAGAAAAAAAAATTATTAAGAATCAGAAAAGAAGTTATCATGATGGTATACATGAAAAACCCTAGAGAATTGATAAAAGTTAATTCAAACAATAAAAACAATTTACTAAGTAGGTTTGGAGGATATAAAATTAGTATTCTTAGATTAATAGTCTACATACATAGACAAAACTATTAAAAGGAAAAAATGAAAAAACTCTATTCACATTGACAACAAAAAGAGAAAATATTAGAAATACATTTAATAAAATAAAAGCAAATCTGTATAATAAAAACAATCCAGAAGAACTTAAACAAGTGGAAAAACATTTCCTTTCCTGGATAGTTGACTCAACATCGTAAAGGTGTTACTTCTCCCTAGATAATTCTATAAGTTTAACACAATCTCAACAAAAAGACCTACAAGGTTTTCATAGGGGTAAACAATTAGATATTGCATTCGTATGGAGAAATGAGTGGAACAATAGCTAGTAAAACACTGAAAAAAAAAAAAACAAACTATGAGAATCTGAGTAGCTATGAGAAGCTATGAGAATATGAGTACTACTGAGCTTTGTAGCTCAGTAGTACTGAACCTACCAATATCAATAGAATAAAGCTCTTATTATTAAACTGTATTATACAGGCATCTGAATAGAAAATTTGACATTTCAGACTAGCAGAGTAGAAAGTTAAAAAATGTATCCAAGTACATATGAAAATTTAGTAAATGATAAAAGATGGCATCTCAAATTTCTGGACAAAGATGAACTTTTTAAAAGGGAGTATTGGGGCAACTAGTAAGTATTTGGAAAAGGGTAAAATTAGAACCATACCTCACACTATATATACACAAAGATAATCTTCACTTAAATCAGAGTTCGAAGTGAAACCATACACACTATAGAAATAAGCAGTAAATTTCTCTATATTATGAATGTAGGAAAAAGCTTTTTTTCAATGACTCAAATGCAATTGCATTTGAAGACAGATAAAGTTAATTACATAAAAATTTATTTTTAACAACGTTTTTTAATGACAAAAAATACCACCAAAAGCAATATCAAAAGATAAATGGCAATCTGAGAGAAAATACTTATGTTGCATGTATCAGAAAAAGTACAAATATCCCTAATACACAAAGAACTATTTTAATATACAGGGAAAGCCCGAATGTCACAGAGAAGAAAGAGATAAAAAATTCATTTTAAAATATAGAGAATGATGCTGCTATTTATCAGTGTTCTCCAGAGAACCAGAACCAATAGGATATGTATAGATATATAAGCAAAGATTTATGATGAGAATTGGTTCCTGTAGTTATGGAGGCTGGGAAATCCCACAACATGCCATCTGCAAATTGAAGAACCAGGAAATACAGTGATGTAATTCAATCCCAGTTTGAAGAACTAAGAACCAGAGAAGCCAGTGCTTTAACTCCCAGTCCAAGGCTGTAGGCCTGAGAACTGGGGATGGCTGGTGTACATCCAAACTCCCAAGACTGACAACCAAGACCTCTGATGTCTAACAGCAGCAAGATGGTTGTCCCATCTCAAGAAGGAACCACTTCCCTCTCCCTTCACCTTTTTATTCTATTTGGGCTCTCAGTAGGTTGCATGAAGCCTCCCCTCATTAGTGAAGGTGAATCTTTTTTACCCAGTCTACTGATTAAAATGCTAATCTCTTCTGGAAACATCCTCACAGACACTCAGAAATAATATTTTACCAGCTATCTGGGCATCCCTTAGCTCAGTTAAAACATAAAATTAACCATCACAATGCATAAATATATGAAAAAAAGATTCATTTATTTAAAAAAGCAAATTAAAACAATGTTAAGATGTCATTTCTCACCTCTTGAATAAGCAACATATTCTGATAGGAAAGATATGAAGAAACACACACTTTGCTAATTGCTAATGCGAATTGGTGTAATTCTCATGGAGGTGAATTTGGTAATCTCTCACAAAACTACATATTCATTCACTTTGGGACCTAACAATTCCATTTATAGAATTTATTCTGTAGGCACCGTTCTAACACTGTGAAAATACATGTCCATAAGGCTACTCACTCTGTTGCTTTTATAATTTCAAAATATTGGAAACATCCTAAATGCCCATGGATGAATAATCTGTTATATGATACAACCATACAATGGAATGCAAAGGAACATAGAACAGTTAAGAAGCATTCCTTGGGCCAGGTATAGAAAAGTTATTTTCTGGGGAAAGCTAAAGTAAAATGAAAAAATATATAGTTATCACTGAAACTGTTCTGTAGCTTTCTTTCATTTGACTCAAATTTTAAAATAACCTAAAAAGTGTGTTATTGTTGATAATTACATGTCATGTGTTTGACATGCCTATGGTCATGACATAAACCTGTGGAGCAGATAATAGTATGTGTAATTTAGCAGTTAAGATGAGGAGCATTTAGGCCAGGCATGGTGGCTCACACCTATAATCCCAGCACTTTGGGAGGTCAGGGCAGGTGGATCACTTGAGATCAGGAGTTCAAGACCAGCCTGGCCAACATAGTGAAACCCCATCTCTACTAAAAATACAAAAATTAGCCGGGGGTGATGGCACATGCCTGTAATTTTAGCTGCCCTGGAGGCTAAGGCAGGAGAATCACCTGAACCTGGGAGGTGGAGGTTGAAGTGAGCTGAGATCGCACCACTGCACTCCACACTCCAGCCTGGGTGACAGAGGGAGACTATCTCAAAAAAGGAAAAAAAAAAAAAAAAAAAAAGATCGGGAACATTTAGATGAGGCTGAGCACAGTGGCTCACACCTGTAATCCTAGCACTTCAGAGGCAGAAGTGGGAGGATTGCTTGAGCCCAGGCTGTAGTGAGCTATGATCGCAATACTGCACTTTAGCTTGTGTGACTGAACGAGAGCCTATTTTAAAAAGAGAGAGAGAGAGAGAGACATGAGACATGGTGAAATTAAGTACTTTTCCCAGAGACAAAAAATAAAACAGAGCTAGAGTCCAGATTCAAACCTAGTTCTTTGGCCACGATCTATGCTCAACCCTTGTGGATGTTGCCTCTTTGAAGATCTGACTAGACGGCTTATGATTCTAGAGTTCCATGATACTATGAGGACAAATTTGAATAAAATGCCTTAAAGGAAATCTAAAACTTAACTTTATTTGCATTTGGCTGTTTCCTTTTTTTTAACACACTGTGCAGTTTTGTTCCTATGAAAATTCATATGGTTGCTTTTGCCTATTTTACGCTTCCCCACCTTGACTAACTGAAAAACTCCAGATTTATCCTTTACTTCCCAGTTAATGTAGAATATCCTCTCTAGAACATTCCCTGAACCCATAAGCATACAGATCATATCCTGTGTGCAGTGCAGTGTACGAAAAAGGAAAGAGATATGATTCTAAAAACAGGCAGACCCGGGTTTGGATATGAGCTCCACTGCTAACTAACTCCATGACTTAAAAAAATGACCTAAGCTCTCTCTAAGGCCGAAGATGAAAATGTACATTTGTTTAAAACTCACCTTCTCTGCCATGATGAAGCTGTGAATTAAAAGGGGGTACTGCACTTGCTGAAATATATCATTAATAGTTGTTTTCTTTACTGAAGAATGTTTTTTAAAAATTGTGTATCTAAGTGGGAGCCACTAGTAATCTGTTTGCCAATTGCATATTTAACATCAGCTAAATCATCTCCGTAGCAACCAACAATCATTCTTTACTAGGTGGAATACAGAACAAATTATCAAAATTTAAGACCATGGCCTCTGCTGTTATTTTTTTCAAATATAACATAGTACTCAAGTGCTAAGGACTAACAAAAATCCTCATAATAACACTGGACTGTTTTGCAAAGAAAAATCATTCCAAAGTTTCAAAAAGTCAATTTAAAGTGGAGAATATTTAGATATCTTTTAGGTAATAAGCTTAAGAGACCATGCAGGGTGGTGCATTATTTTCAAATCTAACTTATGGAAAAGACAATTTTGTAGAGAAACATAAATTACTAAAATTGGCCCAAGAATAGGCATAAAAGTTGAATACGTTGGTGGACATAGGAGAAATCTAAAAGTCAAAACTGTAGTCTCTCCCTTCAAAAAATTTCAATATTTTTTCTGTCAAAAAACTGAAGGCATTTTCCCTTAAAATCAAGATTTTTTTTTTTTTTTTTTTTAAGTCAGGGAGGTCTGCCAGGCCTTGGATTATTCTATTTGCTCACGGGGTTTTAGCCAAAGGTACAAGCCAAAATAAGTAGAAGCTAAACATATTGAAAAAGAAGAAACAAATATTTTTGCAGATATTGACAGCCTAGGAAATCCACACAAATGTACTGCAATACTATTAGATTGAAAACAGGGTTCAGCGAGATAGATGGACATAAGATAAATATAAAAGACTAGATGAATTTCCTTTTCACCAGTAGTAACAATAATTAAACTAGATAATTGGAAAAGGGCTCCATTCTGAAACAGCAGCAATTATTATAATATATAGAGGCCTATACTGAATAGTACATGCACATCACCCACATAAAGAGTGCTGAAAAGCACAAATGAAGGACCCTCACAGAAGACCTAAATAAATGGATAGAAAAAAAAAAAATGAACAAACCACTTTCTAGAGTTAGTGATTTTCAATATTGCACAAATGACCATTAGCCAATTAATTACATTGGCTAATTAAATCTAGTTAATAATTTAGATTTTTGTTTGATTTTGAAATAGGCAGTTGGATTTTAATGTTCAGTTGGAAAAATAAATAAAACTTAAAGCCAAAATTATGAAATGGTATTTACAATACTTGACAATACAGCTTGCTATAAAGTCATTGTAATAAATATTATGAAGCTGGAACAGGAATAGACAAATAGACACTTGGAAAAGAATAAAAAGTCTACAAATAGCTTAACGTGGTTACCTAAAATTAGTATAAAATAGGTGGTTTTCAAGTTAATGAGAATGGATGAGTTGGAATATGTAATAATTGATATTAAGATAATTGGTTAGCCATTAATTTAAAATGTAAATTATTATTGACATAACACACAGGAATTAACTTCAGAATTATTAAAAATATATATAGGGGAAAAGCATAAAATTTCTTTGGGAAAATAGCATACAAGAATAGTTTAAAATCTTGAAGTATGAGGGTCTTTTCTAAGCTTAGTAAGCAGCTGTAAAATAAAAGATAAACAGATTCGAAAACTTGATCACATGGATGATGCTTAAAAGTATTCAGTGTGGTAAAAGACACCATAAACAAAATTAAGAAAAAAACAACAAACAAACAAAAAAGCAACAAAAAAACAATAACAGGGCCACGTGCGGTGGCTCACACCTGTAATCCCAGCACTTTGGGAGGCCAGGTAGAGTGGATTACCTGAGGTCAGGTGCAAGACTAGCCTGGCCAACATGATGAAACCCCATCTCTTCTAAAAATATAAAAATACAATTACAAAAAAATACAAAAAATTAACCAGGCGTGGTGGCAGGTTCCTGTAATCCCAGCTACACGGGAAGCTGGAGTAGGAGAATCACTTGAACACGGTGGGCAGAGGTTTCGCAGTGAGCCGATATTCCACCACTGCACTCCAGCCTGGGCGACAGAGCAAGACTGTCTAAAAAAAAAAAAAAAAAAAGGAAAAAAGGAAGAAAAAACAATAATAGGCCAGGCCAGGAGGAAAATATACAGGATACACAACAGCTAGGGATTAGTCATAATATATACTCAAACAATAAAAATTATGTAACAGATAAACTAGACACACATTATTTACAGAAAAAGGAAAATAAATGGTCAACACACATCTGAAAAAAATTCAAAACAAAATTATGTAACAGATAAACTAGACAAACATTATTTACAGAAAAAGGAAAATAAATGGTCAACACACATTGCACTAATGCATAAATGCACTAATGAATAAATAAGTGCAAAGTAAGTCGTTGATATCCTGTTTTTACCTATTAAAGTGACAAAACATTTTTTGGTAATATCCATTATTTATGAGACTATAGAAACACTGTCCCTTTTATATATAGCTTGTGGGACTATAGCTTTTCTAAATATACAACATGGAGAAAAATACAACTTTTGGAAAAATAAAGTGGCAATATTCATTCAATGTTTTAATATACACGTTCCTTAATTCAACAATCCCAATCCTAGGAATGTAGCCTACTAACATATTAACAAGAAATATAAACACAAACATATTGGCCTCAGCATTTTGCAATAGCACCATATTGAAAACACAGTTAAATGTTCCAAATAGTGTCATGGAATAGTATGTAACACTTTTTTAAAATAGAAGATATAAATCCTGACATAGAAAAGTATCCATATTGTTAGGTGAAAATGCAAATGCCAGAATAATATGTATATTAAGATCCTATTTGGAGAGGGAGAAAATGTGTAACTGTGTATGAAAAAGAAAAAAAGGAAACTGGTGAGTTACACATCAAACTGTTAAGAATAGTTAGTGAGCTCTGTAGAAGATTGGCTTGGGGGAAAGAGAGATTTCATACTTGAATTTTTGCATTTTTATTTTACCAGGTACTGCTTTTTATAACTTAAAAAAGCATTAAAAAGATTTTTGAAAACATATGTTGCTAATTTTTCAGGTAAGAAACAAAGGAAAAAAGAGTTTTTATATTTTTAAAAATACTAACATATGTTACAGTAAAAGGCAGAGTCAGTTGGCTGCTTCTAACAAAGTGTCCTGCGGATGAATGTGCCCGTCCCTCAGTTTTTCTTTCCGTGTTGTCAGAAAGCATTACACACTTTCTGCCTCCTGCAGAGCCAAGTAAGCAAGACAGACCAGGAATGTGATTGAAGGTGAAGCAACAAACTGCTCTCGCCCAGCTCACCAAGCCTTCTTCCCTGCCTAATTTGCAGAGCTGGATTGTACTCCAATCACATATGCTAACAGAGTCACAAAAATGAAAAGCACAGTGATACCTAATTTCCCCTGTCTGCACCCCTTCCCAAAAAGCAAGCCTCGTGATATGTTTGTACACTTAGCTATTAAATGGTTTTTAGGCTCCTGATGATAGCTGTAAGCATTCACAGTTGGTGCCTTCCAAATGAATGACCTGTTGACTCATCCAGGGAGGGCATCCTCTAAGGAAAGGCATGGCCCAGATTCTGTTCGCTGGTCATTGCTGACAGGGATTTGTGATCCAGATATTTTCCAAGATCTCTGGTATGACCTGACTGTTAAGTAGATATTTCTGTCCTCCGAGAGGAGTGGTGGGTTATTTGTGAGGCAGTATCTAATGCCAGAGGACTTGCTTTAAAAGAGAGAACAAGAAATAGCTGTCTAGAGTGTAAGAATCAGGAGATTCAAAAAGCTCACTCCATCACCCATCCTAAAGTAGCTGCATAGGAAAATGTTTCTACACAGTTTTCACTTTATCAGTTTTCCTAGTATGTGCACGGCCAAGCTTCATGGGGTAGCCGTTGGTTGAAAATGACACCTCTTCTTTCTTTGCTGTGTGTGATGTGTGTGCATGTGGCCAACGCACTCTACTGAATGGAAGCAAGAGACACAGCTCAGTGGTGGCGCTCGAGAGACTGGAGCTTCTAAGAATGCTGACAAAAAAGTTATTCCTCAGACTGAATTTCACAATTTCCCCAATCAGGCCTCCCCAGTGGCCCTGGAACGGCTGGCCATCCAGCTCTGCTCTGATCCTACACAGCTTTTCTTCCTGCTCAGCCAGCATGAGTTTAACTATGTCAGAGTAGAAGCTTTTGTGCTGTTGCTAGGTGGCTGATCTCTGCCTTACAGAAGCAGAATCTAGCAAATGAGGTAGAACTTTTTGAACTTATCCCTCTTAGTAGAGAAATGTTGACAGATCTAAGTAGTTCAATGCATTTTAATTTTGAAACCCCCTTGGGACTTTTCTTATCCTCTGAAAGAACTAGTTTATGTTTGCTGTTGCCCTAATCTGCTGTCTGTAATTCTGCCATGTAGGAAATCCCTTTGTATTTTTCAGAAAAAGACTTATTTTCCTTATGTCCATCAGGGAAAAGAAGGAGATAATGAAACTGGTTTATGTTCCTAAGTTTAAGGTTAAATTATGACTATTCATGATCAGTGGTTAGAGTTTTTATATATGGTTATATAAACATACACGTTGGTATTGAATTCAAAAATACATCTCTTTCAAATTTATTGTTTGGGCATCCAGAATGAAAACATATAATATCACTTCATAGTAAGTCTTTTCGTTTTAGTGCTACCACCATCTAACAATTTTGAGGACTAAGGTAGCATGCTTTCTAAATATATAGGGGGAATTCTAAGTTTGGAATAAGAACATTTTCTAAGAATTACATTTTTCATTCTGTAGATAAAAACCAAAAAGCAATATTTTCCTGTTAGAGTGTTAGAATGAGAGTGTGTTTAGTTTGAATAAAGACTTTAGTAATGAGAATAAGGCTTTGCATATATTATTCTTTTCCATTTGTTGAAATTAAAAATGATATTATAAGAATTTTCTCCATAGCAATGTAAGTTATGATGTATTGTCTTTTGCTATTGTTTATGGATTTTATGGTGTCAAGAGAACACAAATTATGTACATAAAAAGAATAAGTGAAAGGTATTTTATAGATATAAATATGTATTTATAAGCATATATTTAACTAGGATAAATTGCCCTAGCAAACAAATATATATTTATATTGACAAGTATTTGCCTATATTTTTTGGTTTGTTTTTATGGCAAAACATCATAATATATAAAACTAAATTAGTCATTCATTGGCTATAAAGTATATGAAACATTGTGATGTACAAGGGAAGGAAGACTGGCCTTGGAATTAAAAGACCTGTCTTGACTGCCCTTTGAAAAACTTTTATTTTAGATTCAGAGGTACATGTGGAGGTTTGTAATATAGGCAAACTCATGTCATGGAGGTTTGTTGGACAGATTATTCATCACCCAGTACTAAGTCTAATAACCAATAGTTATTTTTTTCTGATCCTTTTCCTCCTCCCAACCTGCACCTTCAAGTAGGCCCCAGTGTCTGTTGTTCCCCTCTATGTGTCCATGTGTTCTCATCATTTAGCTCCCACTTATAAGTGAGAACAGGTGGAATGTAGTTTTTTGTTCCTGCATTAGTTTACTAAGGATGATGGCCTCCAGCTCCATCCATGTTCTTGTAAAGGACATAATCTCTTTGTTTTTTATGGCTGCATAGTATTTCATGATGTATATGTATCATATTTCTTTTGTCCAGTCTGCCATTGATTGGCATGTAAGTTGATCCCATATCTTTGATATTGTGAATAGTGCTATAATGAACATACGCATGCATGTGTCTTTATGGTAGGACAATTTATATTCCTTTGGGTACATATCCAGTAATGGGATTGCTGGATCCAATGGTAGCTCTGTTTTAGTTCTTTGAGGAATCATCACACTGCTTTCCACAATGGTTGAACTAATTTACACTCTCATCAACAGTGTATAAGGTTCATTTTTCTCCATAACCTCACCAGCATCTGTTATTTTTTGACTTTTTAATAATAGCCATTCTGATTGGTGTGAGATGCTATGTCATTGTGGTTTTGATTTACATTTCTCTAATGATCAGTGATTGAGCTTTTCTTCATATGCATGTTGCCTGCATGTATGTCTTCTTTTGAAAAGTGTGTTCATGTCATTTGCCCACTTCTTAGTGGGGTTGCTTTTTCTTGTAAATTTGTTCAAGTTCCTTATAGATGCTGGATATTAGACCTTTGTCAGATGCCTAGTTTGCAAAGATTTTCTCCCATTCTGTAGGATGTTTGTTTACTCTGTTGATAGTTTCTTCTGCTGCTGCACTTAATAATTGTATAGCAGTATCAGTCAGGAACCTGGTAGAAAGAGAATTCAAGCCAGATGGCCCAAATAACAAAATTTTCATGAAGTGGCCTCTTAGTTTAATGAAGGTATGAGCAAGGTTGAAAGAACAACACATTGAGGCTCCAGAAAACTAGCAGCAGTAGAAAGCCTAAATCTAAAGAGACAAGGAGTAGACCTTGGTTAACTAGCTTCTAATGAGAACTGGCACTGTGGTAGAGCTTCAAAGAAAAATCTGTAGTTGGAGGACAACCTGGTTACTGCCATCGTGAAGAAGTTGGAGCAAGCAGGCAAAATGTATTCCACATCCTCTGTCCTTCCACCTTCCAATCTCCAGTTGCTATCTTCCGTAGGCCAAGAACAGCAGGAAGCCAGCCAACCAGGCAACATGGATAGGAAAGCAGTCCATAGATTCCTTTCTCCCAGAGCTCTGAATAGGGCATAGAAGAGGCTCTGAGCCAGCATAGTGATGCTGGTGAATCTTTTCATCTCTATCTTAGTATATGTAAAAGTTATAAAGATCATTCAGTTTCTAGAAATAAAAATCTGGCTTAAAAACCTAAGGAATAATGATTTTTTTGATAACAAAAATTCTAGTGGTAAATGATTACCAACATTGTTTCACTTATTCAAGGATGTCAGAAACAAATCTATGTTTCTCCCAACCTTACATGCTGGGCCCAGAGCTCCACCCTAACCCCTTTCCAGACAAACCCCAAAAAAGACAGGGCAGAAAAACAAAAAGAGCTCAACCAGAGGACTCACCCAACAATTTTTACATATGTCTCATTTTCCTAAGAAATATGCTGAAAAAATGTTAAGTGAATGTTTAGATTAAGGTAGAATGACCAATAAATAAGAGATTATCCAGATTATGAGTGTGATTTTTTAGAACTTTTGTGCTCCATTGAGGCTATGAAAAGTGTTGAGAGAGAAATGTGAAGAGAGTGGACTTCTGGGCCAGGCACGGTGGCTCATGCCTGAAATCCCAACACTTTGGGAGGCTGAGGCAGGTGGATCACTTGAGGTCAGGAGTTCAAGATCAGCCTGGCCAATATGGTGAAACCCTGTCTCTACTAAAGATACAAAAATTAGCTGAGTGTGGTGGTGTGCACCTGTAATCACAGCTATTCTGGAGGTTGAGGCTGGAGATCACTTGAATCTGGGAGGTGGAGGTTACAGTGAGCCAAGATCGTGACACTGCACTGCAGCCTTGGCAACAGAGCAAGATTCTGTCTCAAAGAAAAAAAAAGAGAGACAGAGAGAGAGAGACGACTTTTCAAGATTTCTTGGCCATGTTGTGAGTTTCACGCCCCCTCATTGGAGAAGCACGGTGTAATTAACTTCGAGGGGACTTCCCAGAGAGCATTGATATGTTTCTTACAGTAGTAAAAGCTCGTAGGAACGTTTGTCAAGCACATAAGATATCTAAAGACATTTGCTGTGGCTGTTGGCCCATCATGTCAAAGCAGAGTGAGAGTAGCTGGAACATTGGAAACTCCACTTCTCCCCTTAGAAGTGGGTCAAAAATATACAAATCCTACAGACAGAATATCCTACCCATATTAGTAATGCCAGCCTGGTGGCTTCAAAAAGATTTCCCCAAATAGTTTTGTCAGAAGTTGAGGAGACCCCAAAGTAAAGAAACTCCAAAAAGCCTTGTGAAAAAACACTTACAGATTTTTTTTTTAAGCCTACAGCACACGGTATTCCCAGGAAGCTTCCCATTCAGGTAGTAACCAGGCCCAACCCTGGCTTAGCTTTGACAAGACCAGATGAGATCAGACATTCAAACACATTCAGGATAGTATGATTATAAGCCACAGTTTCTTTCTTTTTCTTTTCTTTCTTTTTTTTTTTTTTTTTTGACAGAGTCTCACTCTGTCACCCAGGCTGTAGTGCAGTGGGAAGATTTTAGCTCACTGCAACCTCCACCTCTGGGGTTCAAGCAATTCTCCTGCCTTAGCCTCCCAAGTAGCTGGGACTACAGGGGGATGCCACCAGGCCCAGCTAGTTTTGTTGTATTTTTAGTAGAAATGGTGTTTTGCCATGTTGGCTAGGCTGGTCTTGAACTCCTGACCTCAAGTGATCCTCCCACTTCGGCCTTCCAAAGTGCTGGGATTACAGACATGAGCCACCCCACCCGGCTACACAGTTTCTTCTTAAAATACCTGCCAGGCCCAGAGAACCGGAAGCACACTGAAATCAAAAAGTTATTCCTCTCATTTCCTGCTGCTTTCCCAGACTCCAATGCCAGATGAGCAGAAGACACTGGGACTGGAGTAGCTGAAGAAGAACGAAAATGTCAGCTCACCTACTTAGTCGATGATCAACCTTCTGGAGGGGAAGAAATGCTGCTAAATTTGAGGCTTTTGTTGTTACGCAAGACTGAGCATTTAAATCACCAAAATTAGGCCCATTTTTGTGACTTAGAGTGCCCATCACATTATTGGTTTACCCAAGAGTGATCAAGGAAGTCATGAGATCTAGTAGAAATGTTATTCAAGTGTAGCAGGTTTAAAGATCATGGAAGACAAAATGGATTTCTATTTTAAATTGTATTCGAAAAGTCATGCTTGCGGAATATGGAGACTTAGATCTTCAGCTCGGCATTGTTCTGGATTCTGTTGGTAAGAAAGGAAAAAATACACATGGGCTAAGCTCACAGCACTCTTTTCCGTAATACTCATCTGGAAAGCAAGCAGAGTGAACTAGACCAGGGACCTCAACGTGGTTGCACAGCTAAAAAATAATCATAGGCTGTAAGAAGTCAGAACGCTATAAAAACTTAGCAAGAAGAGTTAGATGCCACAGACCTATTTGAAAAACAACAACAACAACAACAAAGCTAAATTGGCTGGACATCTCACTCCACTAAGAGAATCAACAAAAAGTGCTTCCAGGTTGGTGAAATAGAGGTTCACCAGATGAAACTGGATGTGCAAGCAACATCCTGTACCCCTGAAATTAGAATGAAGAAATGGTAAAATTTTGCCTTGATCTGTAGCTTTTCCAGAACTGAATATTTGTCATGGCAAGGATCACAGACTGCCTTGCAACTAGTACTTGGATCAAACCTTTTATAGGAATAATCCCTAAGGTGATGGCAGCACAGGGACCTTGAAACAGCAAAAGACTTAACTGGAGAATGGAAGAAAACCTAAGGAAAGTAACCCTAAAATCACTTCATAGAAAAACATCATAAGGGAGAAAACTTCAATTCAAGAGAAGCCCAAAAATAAAACTCCAAGATAGTAAACTCTCATGGTAACAGAGACAGAAAGTGAAATCAGCAATTGGAAAATATGCTCCTGATAAAATAAAAATAATAAGTCAACTGAAAATGTGTTTATGTAAGTGTGTTTATGATCCTCAAAAACTTGAAGAAATATAGTTCATAAGAAACAAAAAGAGTTAAAAAGTTCAAAAGCAGCTGATTAAAGAAAAATTAGGCATAAAAACTAGTCCCTGGAAATTTAAAATCAAATCCAATTCTAAGTTAAATACAGTAGAAGACAGAAGTAATAAAGTGAAGGATATTATTAAGGAATTCACTCAGAATGCAACACGGAAAGAAAAAAAGATTAAAAAATACAGAAGAACAGTGATGATATATGTGATATATGGATGAATAGATGGAAAAGCTACAATGTATGGCTGCTAGGATTTCTAGAAGTCTTAGCTAAAATATTTTTTAAACATAGTGAAAGAATAAAATATCTGAGAATATTTCATATTTGCATAAATTTGCATAAAATAACCTCAAAATTAACACACAAAATGCTCTCACACACATGCATGCAAAACATACACTGAAATAAACTAAAAATGCACACCTTGTCATATTGTAAAATTGCAGGAAAACAAGGAAAATAAAATATTTAATTTTTTATTGTAGTTATTTATTTATTGTTAATTTTTTTTTTTGAAACGCAGCGTCACTCTGTCACCCAGGCTGGAGTGCAATGGCACAATCTTGGCTCACTGCAACCTCCTCTTCCTGGGTTCAAGCAATTCTCCTGCCTCAGCCTTCCCAGTAGCTGGGATTACAGACACGCACCACCACGCCTGGCTAATTTTTTGGAAAATAAAATATTTTAAAAGCCTTCACAGAAGTAATACAAATTACCTATATAGTTTTAACAACTACATTGACCATGGAATTCTCTCAGGACAATAGGTATCAGAAGACAACAGAAAGAAAATACTAAGGCAAATTGTCAAACTAGAATTTCATACCCAAGTAAACTAGTTCTATTAAGACAGGAGGGTGAAATAAAGACATTGTCAGCCAAACAGAGTTAGGAACATTTACTACCCATTGACTTTCCAATAAAGCAAATAATTCCTTGGTAAGTATTTAAGCAAAAAGAGAAGTTTATCCCCAAAGAGAACATGAAGATAAACAAAACAATTGGGATATAATGTTGGTATCAACAATGCTTAGGGACAGAACAAAAGAAGTATAGACCAATCTTTCTTATGAATAAAAGTGGATTAAAAAAAATTCCTCATGAACTTAAATACACAAAACACAGCCTCAAAATAAATATGTATAGTAAAAATTGACCAAATTACAAGAAAAATACATTTCTAGGGTTGAAATGTATTTCAACCAGTACAGTGGCCCAGTACAGTGGCTCACGTCTGTAATCCCAGCACTTTGGAAGGCCGTGGCGAGTGGATCACCTGAGGTCAGGAGTTCAAGACCAGCCAAAGCAACATGGTGAAACCCCGTCTCTACTAAAAATACAAAACTTAGCCAGGCGCGGTGGCATGTGCCTGTAATCCCAGCTACTCAGGAGGCTGAGGCAGGAGAATCACTTGAGCCTGGGAGGCAGAAGTTGCAGTGAGCCAAGACTGTGCCATTGCACTCCAGCCTGGGTGACAGAGTGAGACTCTGTCTCAAAAAAAAAAAAAAACGCAGAGTAGATTTTTTTAAAAAATATGACATTACTATATTATTTTGTCAATAAATTTTAAAACTATACAAAATTGGTAATTATCTGGAAATTTTAAATTACCAGAAATGACTTAGGATGAAATAAAAGTAAACTTGTCACCCTAAATAAATTAAATTGATAACCAAAAAGTCATCCTATTAAATGGCCAATAAGACTTGATAAGTTTACTTTTTCCTTCACCTTTTAATGTGAAATATACATTTAGAAAATTGAAGAGAATACATATGTCAACCTAACAAATAATTGCAAAGCAAACTCCCATATCTGATGGTTTTAAAACTTTACCATATTTTCATGGAACAATAATGTCAGTTTCATGCCACCTATTTCAGAAACAAACAAACAAAAAAAGAGGTAGAAAACTATCCTACTTATTTGATAAGACTTGAGATAATGATGGTATCAACAATGATTAAGGACAGTAGAAAGGAAGTATAGATTAATCTTAAATCAAAGTAAATTATTAGAAAATCAAGTTGATTAATTGTCACCAGGTAAAGTGACTTAGTCATAGAGAGGTTCAGAAGCTTTCCCTTGTGCTCACGATAAAACTGGATACCATGTTGACCCGGCTCCAGAATTCCAGTTGAGAGAGGAGTTGCTGATGCTGTGTAACTACATAAGCCATATGATTAAAATTATTTTTGGAGAGGTTATTGTCGTATTCACTTTGTAGAAAAAAGAAATGCCTTAGCCAACATCCAGCCACATGACTTGGTGGGCACCTGGGGCTAAGTCAGGGCACTGGTATGCAGTAGTGAAAGTACATGTAGTTCCCAAAACCAGTTTGAGATCACTTCCTTGAAAAGCAGCCAGGTGATCCTAGGGAGAGAGCATCATGTGGCACATATAAGAATTCGGTAAGCCAGATACGGTGGTTCATGTCTGTAAGCCCAGCACTTTGGGAGGCCGAGGCAGGTGGATCACCTGAGGTCAGGAGTTCGAGACCAGCCTGGCCAATATGGTGAAACCCCATCTCTACTAAAAATACAAAAATTAGCCAGGTGTGGTGGCAGGTGCCTGTAATCCCAGCTACTCGGGAGGCTGAGGCAGGAGAATTGCTTGAACCCAGGAGGCAGGGGTTGCAGTGAGCAGAGATTGTGCCACTGCACTGTAGCCTGGGCAACAAGAGAGAAACTCACTCTCAAAAAAAAAAAAAAAAAAAAAAAAAAATAGAATTCGGTACCCATGGCAAAACTATCCATGCTAATTTGTCAACAAAAGGACAGCCAAGGTTTTATAAGGTAAGTATCTAAGCAAAGCCTGTGAATAAGGTCACATGCCAAAGGCTACTTTTTTTCCCTTTTTGTTATTTTCCATGAATTATATAAACATGTCAAGTATGTTACAGACACAGGGAAAACAAAAGGAGGTGGGGATGAAAGTAGAGAGATTGTTTACAGAGACTGAAAATAATAAAAGTGACAGACACTCTATTAGTCATCTAAAAGTAAAGTGATACTGCATTAAGGGAGTAGCAGAAGGTTTATTTTAGAAAAGAGATTTTAGAATTACTAATTGAGTATGAGTGAGGGATGATCAAGAAGAAAGAAAAATCAAAGTATGTTGAGCCTTCTTAATCACTTGGAAAATGGTAGTACTGCAAGCAGGAAGTGGAATGTCTAGAAGAAGTGTTGTTTTTAAGAGAAGAGACCTACTGTTCTATTAAACTGTCCAAAAAGCATATTTCCAGCTACTTCAGGAATGTGAGTCAAGCAATCCTGCACCAGAGCTAGGGTTTGTTTGCAATGATTATGGCATGTATTTTAGCCTTTGCCCTCAGATTCCAGTGAGGTCACCACCCACAGAAGATTGTCTGTGGAAGCTGAGTATTTGGCAAGACTCCTAAGAAGGGAGCTCAGACTCAAACCATAAGAGACATGTCAGCAAACAGTTTAACTTCCTTTTTGTCATGTGGGTGACCATCGTAATAGGAAGCTTGTCTTTATTTTATTTTATGTTTTATTTTTGCAATTGAAGCCTCATGAATACTAAGTTCTCAAAATTTGCTTTATCTCGGGGTTGTTTGGGGGTGGGAGCGGGGTGAAGGTTGGGGAATAAATCAACCAGAGCTCCCTAAGAAAGAAAACCAAACCGAAAGTAAAAATTAGGAAATGGAAGTATGGCATGGTCCAAAAGTTCAGATGTAGAAACACATATGGGTTTAAAAATGAGCAATATTTTTCTCCTTCAAAAAGTGATTGTGTAGCAAAGAAAAATAAAATAGTCTTGATCCAGAACTTTTGTTTCAGAAAAAGTATCCATTATATCATCAAGGAAGACTCAGCTGTACACAGATGGGTGAAACTTAAATGAGTTTATTATTTGTCTCTAGAACACTCCAGGATATAGTCTTCTCTAAGGGATCTTGATTAGGCAAGTGGCTGAGATGGAGTTAAAATGAAATAGACACATCTCTTCGATCGCCACAAGAATCCTATAAAATAATTCTCTGCCTACCACACGTGGAGATGCCATACCCTTTAAGGCAACATTTCCTCAGTTCACACCATACATTTTGAGACATCAGCAACAAAAATAACACTTCAAAATCGGAGTTTCACTCTGCACAGTATCCCTGAAGGAGTCACTTAAATCTCAGTGGTCCATTCCTGTAGCTCATGGGAACCATTAGTGTGCATCTCAAGCCTTCCACCATGTTAGTGTGAGAAATGACAGATACAAATGATTTTATTGAGAGAGGAAATTAAAAGAGTATAAATGTATAGCAGTTGAAAGTTAGTATGCTCTCTGATCCTATTTCCAACATATATGCCTCTGGTGGGAAGCTAAGCACAGTATCATTTTCAGAATACAGATAATGTGAATGTTTTTAACACAACAGGGCAAGATGTAGTTTCAGTCACCATTAATTAAACCTAGAGTTACCATTGCCCTAAAGAGTCGATGTGTGGCTTTGTATCTATATTTTACATATATTAGAAAATATGGGATTTTGTGGGGAGTGGTAAGAATGGAGATGGAGGTTAAGTCCACAGCAAAGCTGTGCAGGTTCCACTGAAATGGGTCAAGTCACTTTCTTTCCCCCCAATGCATAGGGAGTAAATGCAGTTACTCCCCATTGACTGTGAGGCCCACCATGGGGGAAGGGATGCTTCATTGTCTTCTTTTTTAATTTTATTTTTTTCTTGAGAAAGAGTTTCGCTCTTGTCACCCAGGCTGGAGTGCAGTGGCCCTGTCTCGGCTCATTGCAACCTCCACCTCCCAGGTTCAAGCTATTCTCCTGCCTCAGCCTCCCAAGTAGCAGGGATTACAGGTGTGCACCACCACACCCAGCTAATTTTTGTATTTTGGTAGAGGTGGGGTTTCACCATTTTGGCCAGGCTGGTCTCAAACTCTTGACCTCAGGTGGTCCACCCACCTCGGCCTCCCAAAATGCTGTGATTACAGGCATGAGCCACCGCACCCGGACTTCATTGTCTTCTACTCACTGGCTGACATTCCTTAGGGTCCCATTGCAACATCCAAAGGCAGTTTCATTCCTGGAAAAGAAGAGACAGGAGAAGAAAGTATGTTTTAATTTTTTTTTTCAAATAAATAAATGTCTGTGGGGAATTTCAAAAAAGTTGCTAATTGAGATAACATTTATTCGTGTTCCTTTCTACTCTAACCCTGTTCTATATAAGATATTTTATGGAGTCTCCTAGCACTAGACTATTTTGGAAAATGTGGTATCCAACAGCATCTAATTCTAATTTGTATCTTTCTAGGTCACTGTTACCCTGTGGTTAAAAAGGTTTCTTTTAAAATTTCATTTTTTGAACTTATCTAGTTTCCTCCTTTCCCCTTTCTACCCAATCCAGAAATAACTGTATTTGTGGTATTACACAGCAAAATAGCTGAAATGTGGAAATGATATAGTAAGTTCTTGTTTTTCTAATGAAAATTGTTTAAAAGGCAAATAAAATAATTTGTTAGAATAATGGAGTTTTGTATATGAAAAAAATAGTTTTTGTATCCAATAGGAAATCATCTAATAATTGTTTTCTACCCATATTATCATTTTAATGCCATGTACATTTATTTATCTTGGATATTCACTTTTACTAATGGTCCCTTGGCAGAAAAAGATAGGCTTAAATGAGTGAAAAAGACCTTTGGCATGCATTTATCAGATTAAAACATCCCTAAAGGTATATTTAATGTAATACAGTCTCTATGATGGCGGGTAATTTTTTTAGGACAGCAAATATGGTAGGATGAATGTGACAAACAGCTAGATACATAGTGACATTCTAGAGTTAGCATTGAAAACCTCATTCTCAGATAAAATAATCGAATAATGCAACACTGAAGATATTATAGATAAACTGTCCATGTCAGAGTGTAAAGCAATAGTTATATGTACACCACTCATTGCCCTTTGATCACTAAACAGAGGCTTTACATGCAAAAGAAAAGAATGCACTCTGAAATACAAAAAGGAAACAAGGTAGTGGGTAATACTTTATTTTAAAAATACGGTTGAGACGAGCAAAAGACACCTGCACTAAGAAAGATGTATAATTTTGTTTTACTTATTGAACAAATGTCTTCTCCCCAGTACCATATTGGTCATCATTTAGAACCCTTTGTTAGACTCTAGTTCTTCTTTGCATATCATGGGAGGCAACATATAAATTATGGAAAAAACAGGACCTTCAGAAACCGTTTGTTATATTCTTGGAGTCAAGAACCTTTGTTAGGAAAGAATTAGCATTGTGGCTATGTTTCTCAATTTATAATATAATGTGAGCTTGCCTCTCCCTTATGCAAGCTCATTAGTTGATTTTTCATGGCTGGTACAAGCAGCATAAATTTAATTACAAGTGTATTTTACAAAATATTTCCCAGTCACTAGACATGGCTTCCCCAGAGTGAAATTGTAAATTTAATGCCCATGTATGTTAAATGACCCAAGTGGTGTTACAACCCACAGATCTAAACTCTGTCCTTTTATTATTGGCAATAACAAGTAGTTCAGAATAATAGGAGTCAAAAGATTGTCTTTGAGTGAAAAAAAAGATTAATGCATAATCTGCCTCAAAATTAAAACTAATCTTGATCATTTGGAGAATATTTCTAAGAAATATCTTCAAATGATACATTACAAACTCAACCCCAAACTAAATTTATTAAAAGTTCATAACATGCTTAGTTTCAAAGGGTTATATCAGCAGAACATATATTTTGCTTGTTAGTTTATGCATCTTCTCATATTGGCTTGAATTGTAGAAACCAGATGACAGACTATTCCAGAAAATCTAATGAATCTTGGTAGTTAATTCTGTCACTCTTCTGTGAAGGTATATTGAACTCTGTGATCTCAAGAATTAGCAAATGGGTAATTTTAAAATTTTTCTTTTTTTAATGAGACTGTACTCATGCTTTTGAAACCCATTCAGAGGTACAGAAAATACTTACGAAGAGCTAACCAAAGCAAACAAGAATGACAAATTTCTTTACTTGAAACTCAGTCTGCCTGCATAGTTGACCCTCTTACATTGCTACCTCCCATTCTCAGTAAAAGTGGAAGATAAAGGAAAAGCAAAATAATACAAAACAAGCTAGAATGTATTGAATAGAATCACAGGGGGAAAAATATCAAAATTAGCAGTACAGTAACTATATCTACCATCTATCTGGACAAACCTACTTCTAAAGCTAGGAACAAATTAGAAAGATCTGAAAGCAACAACAAAAATCACATTCTGCATAGAAATCCTCAAGTTCAGTGTGGGTAACATTCCTAGGAGAAGATCTGAGGCTTCTGAAATTTGAAGTCCTTGATTAAATGTCTCAAGTTTGAGAGCCTAGAGGGAAAGAGTCAAAGATTATTGCATCTATGTATTACTAATAGGGGGTATAAATTTGTTAGGGAAGAGGGAGGGCGTGGGAGAGAATATTTCTAATAGGTTTCAGGGAGTAGATGCTGATAGGCATGAGCAAACAAAGGGATTATTACCACTGGCTCCAGAAATTCCTTCTTCAGGTTCTCATTGGACTTTATTCACACTATGACTTAATTATTGTAGTAATTTTGTAGTTAGTTTGAACGTTGCCATCTTATCACATCCTTGTGGCTAGTGATCAAGTCCAGTTGTCTTCATATCTCTTTTTTTATATTCTCTCTGTTGTAGAATTAGTAGTAATGTGGTAATTAGTAGTAATGTGGGTAAAATAAAAATTGTTTAAGCCCGGAGCGGTGGCTCACGCCTGTAATCCCAGCACTTTGGGAGGCGGAAGTGGGTGGATCACCTCAGGTCGGGAGTTCGTGACCAGCCTGGCCAACATGGTGAAACCCCGTCTCTAATAAAAATACAGAAAAAAGAAAAAAAAAATTAGGCGGACGTGGTGGCAGGTGCCTGTAATCCCAACTACTCAGGAGGCTGAAGCAGTAGAATCGCTTGAACCTGGGAGGCGGAGGTTTCAGTGAGCCGAGACTGTGCCAACGCACTTCAGTGTGGGCAACAAGAAAGAAACTCCGTCTCAAAAAAAAATGTTTAAGCATTCATGAATAAGACTGTGTTTATTATTTATTCAATTAACCAAAGTTAATTGATTAATTGACTAAAATGCCCAATAGTTTCGACATAATTTTATAATAGACGCTCATATTAAGACATTAGAGTAGAAAAATCAGCACTAATTCTGACTTGAGCCCCCATACTACTCCAATAACAGATGAAATTAAAGTGTAGACACCAGTATGTTTTAAGTAGAATCATATTTATTAGTATACAGTATCAAGTCCAGAAACACTGCCTATTCTGTCCCCTTCCTTGAAGCATGCATTGCGTTTCCCGTTTTCTATCTATTCTCTCCCTTTCTTCTCCCATACTCGGTGCCTGGAATGCTGGCCATCCTGGGCTGCGTCAAGAGGCTCCCTTATCCTCTGGCTTCTAACTGAATTAGCCAGTGGGATGCACTGGCAAAGGTCAGAGGGTAGAGGGAGAATGAGAGTATCTTCCCCAGCTCCCTTCCTTCTGCACCACTGTAGACTGTCCTTTAATGAGAGCCAGCTTCTGGCAAGCAGCTCTCTGCTACAGATCTGTTTGTTCAAAGAGCTCTCTCCTCTTGCCTCTTCGGCTTTTTACTGCTACTTGACCTAACATACTGCTCCATCTTTTGTTGCATTACCTAAAACTTTCCAGTGTTTTGTAAAATTCCCTTCAATGGACTCTCCTTAAAAACCCAACTTGACTATGTCCTCTGTGTTCTGCTGGAACCCTGATAAACTCCTCATCTTCAAACTCTTGATGTTAAGAAGGGAGAAGATTCAAAGGCAATGCTTTATAGGTTTGTAGGTTCCCTAACTACAGGAACCAGAAATTCTGTGGGATACTCTCTTCCTGAGCTCATTTTAGATACCTGATCTGGTGAGGAAATCCCATCATCATTCATTTGAAAGAGACATTAACGTTGCCTGGAGGCTCAGAAGGTTCTTACTGCAACTGCCTTATCAGTCTACTTTGCTAGAAGAAACTTATGCCCCCAAATGCTTTGGTTACGGTCATCAGACATGGGGGCCAGTTTGTGCTTCTGTAAGTAAAGGTTATATGACTTTATCCTTCCATACAAGACAGCATCTGATTCTAAGCCATGAAATGGATTTAAATCAGGACCATCTTAAAGATAAGCACTTTCCAAGATCTTATCCTATGACAAGACCCCAAAAAATGTGTTAGTAGATAATATAACATATAATAATATAAATGGTCACCATTTTTTAATATTATGAGTCAGGCACCATTGTCTCATTTAATTCTAAGAAAAATAATGAGGGTGTTACTTTCAGATGGTGAATTTGAGGATTAGACATACATTCCTAAAGTCATGCAGCTAACAAGCAGCAAAATTGGAATGTAAACCAAATTTGTCTACTTGTAAGTAATATTCCTATAACTCTTAACCCTCAAAACTAGATTCTTAGTGCAGATAAGAAAGCAATAGTTCATAAATCTATTGTCCATGTGGAGTAAGTAACAGATCCTGTAAAAATTAATATTGTTTTGATAATAGAATGAAGCAATTATCTAGTACTGATTAAAACTTGGAATAAATCACATTAATTCAAATTCAAAGACATTATCAGATCATTTTTCTTATTTTCTCATTTTCATAGTGTCATTATATCTTGTAAAATCTTAGATGTGACCTCTGAATTCAGTATATAAGAAATGGATAGGACATCAGAGAAATGCAAATCAAAACCGCAATGAGATACCATCTCACACCAATTAGAATGGCGATCATTAAAAAGTCAGGAACAACAGGTGCTGGAGAGGATGTGGAGAAATAGGAACACTTTTACACTGTTGGTGGGACTGTCAACTAGTTCAACCATTGTGGAAGTCAGTGTGGTGATTCCTCAGGGGTCTAGAACTAGAAATACCATTTGAACCAGCGATCCCATTACTGGGTATATACCCAAAGGATTATAAATCATGCTGCTATAAAGACACATGCACACATACGTTTATTGTGGCGCTATTCACAATAGCAAAGACTTGGAACCAAGCCAAATGTCCAACAGTGATAGACTGGATTAAGAAAATGTCACACATACACACTGTGGAATACTATGCAGCCATAAAAAATGATGAGTTCATGTCCTTTGTAGGGACATGGGTGAAGCTGGAAACCATCATTCTCAGCAAACTATCCCAAGGACTAAAAACCAAACACCACATATTCTCACTCATAGGTGGGAATTGAACAATGAGAACACATGGACACAGGAAGGGGAACATCACACTCCAGGGACTGTTGTGGGGTGGGAGGAGGGGGGAGGGATAGCATTTGGAGATATACCTAATGCTAAATGACGAGTTAATGGGTGCAGCACACCAACATGGCACATATATACATATGTAACAAACCTGCACGTTGTGCACATGTACCCTAAAACTTAAAGTATAATAATAAAAAAAAAGAAATGGATAGGAGTCAAATTATTTTTTTTTATTTTTAAATAGTAAATTAAACAACAACTTGTCTGTTTTCCTACGAAAACAAATTCTGGTTTGCCTTTGTTTTTGTTCTTGTGAACTAAATGTAAGTTTTGTAGCTTGTAGAAATAGAAAAAGCAAATTATTTTTATAATAAACATGGATAAAGTTTTTTCAAAAATTTTTCTTTTCTTTTTAAAACATGAGACTGTTTCTTCTTTTGTTTATTTTCTCTGAGACTACCCAAAGGTTAGCATTTCCTTTGCAGCAGTTCATTAGGAAGAGTGTTGGCATGTAGGGGCTGCTGGCTGGGGTTACTAATAGGAAAACTCTCTACACTGTCTGATCTACTACATCATTTCCAGCTTTTGGTTAACCAATGACCAAAATAGTTGTAGATCATAAAATATTTTAGGGCTCGGCCCAGTGGCTCATGCCTATAATGGCAGCACTTCGGGAGGCCGAGGGGGGCAGATCACCTGAGGCCAGGAATTCAAGACCAGCCTGGCCAACATGGCAAAACCCCATCTCTACTAAAAATACAAAAAATTAGCTGGGTGTAGTGGCACGCACATGTAATACCAGCTACTTGGGAGGCTGAGGCAGGAGAACTGCCTGAACCTGGGAGGCGGAGGTTGCAGTGAGCTGAAATCGCACCACTGCACTCCAGTCTGGGTGACAGAGCGAGACTGTGTCTCAAGAAAAAAAAAAAATAATAAGTTTAAAGTAGGTATTGAAGTTTCTTCTGTTAGGCTCTATTAGTTTATCAACAATAGGAGGTAAGTACTGTTTATCTCTGTATCCCTGACACTCAAAACAGTGTCTGGCAAATGTGTGCTTTAAAAAAATATATATAATGCTAATGATAATCCTCATTTTTATAAAGTTGTTTTATGTGTTGAATGAGAGATAACACATGTTTCACTCTCATTTGTGACAGAAGAAAGGGACAGAAGGCATTGCATTGTAGTTTAAGATATGAAATGTGCTGGAGGTGTAATCCTTAACTGAAAACTCCTAACTGAGCTCTGCTGAGCACTGAGTGATCAAAGACCTATGAGAGGTAATTGAGCAGACAGGAGAAAGGAACAGAGATCACTTTAAAAAGCTGGATGAAACTTGAAAAATGTCCTCAGGTGACCTAGAAGTGTTTCTTAATATGTTTCAACAACAGAGCCCTAGCATCAGGAAGAAACGAATGCACTTCCCTGGAGAAATCTGAGGGTACAGCTTGAAGCAGCTCCTTGCAAATGTGACATTTCATCAAAGTGCCCTGTTTTATCTGGAAAAAGTCACGCAAATTTGCAATGTACGCCCTATTTTATCTGCATGTATCTTTAGATAGCAATGTTTTTCCAAACTCATTGAATCTAATTGATGTCTCACAATTAAGTATGCCATTTCTACTGTGTTTTGCTTATTCCTAGCACACCACTATTAGACCAGCCTGTTAGAGGGAAACCAAGGTAGAGGAGCTTACCACGCCCAGTCTCCTTGGGAGTACATAGCAAGTAGGCCTTCCATAGGAAAGTGACTGTTACAAATGGGCTGCACTTGAAGAGGAATAGGAATAGATGAGTAAAGTGACCAGTGATTTATTTTCTAAGGTGGAAAGTGGAACATACTTGGATCTGAAAGGGTCACAATTTAGCCAGGACAAATTAAGCAACACTGTCCCAAGTAAACCAGGACATATGGTAATCTAATTTATATAGGGAGAACCTAAGTAAGTTGTGCAACTGATAGAGCAAGAACTGTCCAACTGGTTTAACCTGGGATATTGACATCTTATGTGTCAAAAAGATTGGCAAGAGATAGACTAAATGAAGTCATTACGTCAATAATATGAAATATTAGAACTTTTGTTTCCAGCTATTGTGGAATAACTCACATAAGACTTAACCATCTTGTTTTCAACAACCATAAAACTAGGCAAAATACATGACACAACTTTTTTCCAACACTGGACAAGAGGGCTGCACCACACAGCAGTCCCTGTGAGAAGAGAAACTCAGGAGGTAAGTCCCATGATTTTGCAGACTCTCTGCCTGGGGATAATTTCCCAATTGTGGCACAGAATGTAAGTGTCCAAGCAGAGTATGATGACTAGGGAAGCTGGAGCTACTGGAATTTGCAAAGCAGGACTCAGGGAGGAGGAACCTCTGCAGAAGAGAGGCCTAGAAGAATGTGAAGGCTGTGTTCCACATGCACAGTGCAAAACTCCTCAAGGGTTACCAGAGAGAAACTGCTGTGGGGCAAGAAATGAAAGAGAAATACTAGAGATCAAGCAGTTCTGACAGGTGTTGGAAGTCCAACATGACCAAATAGAAAGATCTTATTAACACATTTCTTAGCATCACTGGTATTCATTCAAGACACATAAAATCTGTGACAAGATAAAGCCTTACTTTAGATTAAGAATCACACCCCAGAATAAGGCCTATTCCATAGATCATTACAACAAAGACTAAAATCAAACCTTGACAGATGCACCAGGGAAAGTTTGGAGGTTGAGTCCACCAAGTTAGAGGAGCTTGGAAAACCCCTTAGGCTTTCACAGATCAGCCCTATCATAGCTTAAAACCATGCTTTCACAAGTTTCAAGATAATCAACCAATAAATGAACAACTGAGGTCTGCTAGAGAAAAACATCAACACTTTTCAGAGGAAGATGACCAAAGTATCTCCAGTATATAACCTACAGATCAAGTGAATACAAACTTACAGAGATTCAGAAAAAGGTAACCCTTAGTCAAAGAAAAAAGCAGCCAATACAAACCAACTCCAAAATATCTGATTATTGCAGTTACCATCTATTTTGTATATATGCTAAAACAATTTTTTAAACTTATAGTTTTGGGAGTAAATGTGAAAGTTTGTTATATAGGTAAATGTGTGTCATGGGGATTTGTTGTACATAATATTTCATCACCCAGGTATAAAGACCAGTACCCAATAGTTATCTTTCCTGCTCCCCTCCCTCCTCTCACCCACCTCAAGTAGACCCTGGTGCCCGTTGTTTCCTTCTTTGGGTTCATAAGTTCTTATCATTGAGCCCCCACTTATAAGTGAGAACATGCAGTATTTGGTTTCCTGTTCCTGCGTTAGTTTGCTAAGGATGATAGCCTCCAGCTCCATCCACGATCCCACAAAAGATATGATCTTGTTCTTTTTATGGCTGCATAATATTCCATGGGATGTCTTCCACATTTTCTTTATCCAGTCTGTCATTGATGGGCATTTAGGTGGATTCCATGTCTTTGCTATTGTGAACACTGCTGCAATGAACATTCATGTTTATGTGTCTTTATGGTAGAATGCTTTATATTCCTCTGGGTATACACCCAGTAATGAGATTGCTGGGTTGAATGGTAGTTCTGCTTTTAGCTCCTTGAGGAATCACCACAGTGCTTTCCAGAATAATTGAACTAATTTATACTCCCACCAATAGTGTATAAGTGTTCCCTTTTCTCTGCAACTTCACCAGCATCTGTTATTTTTTGACTTTTTAATAATAACCATTTGGACAGGTGTGAGATGGTATCTCATATGGTTTTGATTGTCTTTCTCTAATGATCAGTGATATTGAGCTTCTTTTCATATGCTTCTTGGCCACATGTATGTCTTTTCAGAAGTGTCTGTTCATGTCCTTTGTCCACTTTTTAATGGAGTTGTTTTTCTCTTGTAACTTTGTTTAAGTTCCTTATAGATTCTGGATATTAAACCTTTGTCAGATGCATAGTTTGCAAATATTTTCTCCCATTTTGTGGGTTGTCTGTTTACTCTGTTAATAGTTTCTTTTGCTGTGCAGAAGCTCTTTAGTTTAGATACCATTGGTCAATTTTTGCCTTTGTTGTGATTGCTTTTGGTGTCTTTGTCATAAAATTTCTGCCCATTCCTATGTCCAGGATGGTATTGCCTAGCTTGTCTTCCAGGGTTTTTATAGTTTTCTGTTTTACATTTAAGCCTTTAATCCATCTTGAGTTGATTTTTATATATGGTGTGAGGAAGGTTTCCAGCTTCAATCTTCTGCATATGACTAGCCAGTTATCCCAGCATCATTTATTGAACAGGGAGTCTTTTCCCCATTGCTTGTTTTTGTCATATGCTCAAAGAATTAAAGGAAAGTATGATCTTAATTTTTAAGCAGATATGGAATCTTAGCAGAGAAATGGAAATTATAAAAAAAGAACAAAATGGAAACTCTAGAACTGAAAAGTCAATAATTGGACTGAAAATTTTCCTGAGTAGGATTAGCAGATTACAGATGGCAGAATAAAGATTCAGTGGCTTTGAAGACAGAAATTATCCTATCTGAAAAAGTCTACAGTGATGAAGCAAAAAGGAATTGTCCAATAAAAATATCACTGAAAGCGAACATGAAATACAACACAACTTCAGATAGACAAAAACTGTGAAAATTTGTCATCAGCAGCTGTCTACTATAAGAAATGCATAAAAATAACATTCAGGCTGAAGAGAAATAATACAAAATGGAAACGTGCATCTATAGAGAAAAACAAAGGCATCAAGAATAGCAATTAAGAAATAAATGTAGAAGACTATGCTGTTTTTCCTTATTTTTCCTTAAAAGACAACTAACACCTTATAGAAAATCTGTAATAAGTTTTCTGTAACTTCGTTAGGTAGGAAATAGGAAATATGTAGAGTAAGAGACATAATAATAGCAAAATAATGATGAGGTGGGGAAATGGAATTATATTGTTGTGAATTTATTACATTTGTAAAGTAGGAGATAGGGAGTTTCTCAATTATAGGGAGGTGTAAAGTCAATAAAAGTAGATTGCAGCCTGAACTAATGTCTCTGTAATCGCATTTTAATACGTCTTAACATTCCAGATTTCCAACCAGTTCTCAAGCACCTTTCAATTCAGCTCAGGCTCTCCGAGCTGCCTCCTTTGTCTCCTATTAGGTTTAGTATCAGCGGTTTAGCAGCAGTTTCTACTAAGAGTGAGAACAGGTGTCCTTTTGGCCTGACAGTCAATCCTGACAGCAGGAGAGTGTACTGCAAATTAGAGAATGCATCAGGAGTGGTTTCCAAACCCACTGAGTGGATAATAGAAAGCCAGTCTCCCCACTATCTCTAGAATCCCTTGTCCATATCAAAAGATGGTCTCTGTTCTTGACCCAAATGGAATACTTAAAGTCAATAATGGCATATTTTACACAATACCATTTCTCTTCTTTTTCTCTGTTTAAAAAATTGTTAAATGGCCACAAGTCCAAAGAATTTAGTTACTATCTTAGTTACAGTAATATTTTAATTAACTATCGTGGTTAGGAAGTTGATATTTCTAGTTAACTGAAGATTAGTTAGTAAAACTGATTGGGACTGGAGCATCCTTGAATATGTTGGGATGTGCTATGGTGATCTAGTTCTTATCTAACTTCAGAAAAGTTAATGTTTCTTTCTAAATTAAAAACAAGGGATTGTTTCATCCCTCAACTATGTGTCTTTAGAAAACAATATAAATAATGATTTAAGGTAGGCCAATGCATCCTACTTACATATTATTCTTATTTTAAAAGAAGGCCATTATTTGAAGGGAAAAAAAGCATAACGTGAAAAAGCAGACTACTTCGAAACCACAATTATTCAGTTATTCATTAAATAGTTCCCTCATACAAAACAAACAAACAAACAACACTTATTGAGCATTATTATGTACAAGGACCTGGGATCAGATGTGGATAAAAACATAAAGAAGGCAATTATCCAAGCTCTCAGATGGTTAATATAATGGGAGAGACAGATGAGCAACAGAGCCACAATATAATGAGATATTGCACAACATCTCACTGTAAAAGACATGTAAGCACTGTAGAAAGAATGCCATGAGATCAGAGAGTGGGGCTTGATTCATTCTGTCTGGGCATGATGTCAGGGCTCTTAGTTACAAGCAACAGAAATGACTCTGACGAATTTAAATACAGAGGAAGAATTTTGTTTTTCTTAATGTTGCATGACCCACAGAAACACTTGGAGGTCTGGAGAACAAGGCTTGGGGTCTATGAAGCCAGGCACAAGGGCCAAATTGATGCCACAGAGCTGATGGAGAAGGGGCACCAGTGTGGTTGCGACTTGAACCTAGGGCTAGCCTTGGGGCGATACTGTCTCAGAAGCTGACAACTGATGAAACTGCCAACAGGGCCAGCGAGGGTGACCATGAAGCATCACTGGATCCAAATTCAAAGTCCAGGATGAGAGCCTGTTCTTGGCACAGCCTGTGTCACGTGCCAACACCCTGGCTGATGTGGAAACCAAAAAAGCAAGTGTCAGGTGTGTCCAATTTTATCATACAAGGTTGGTTTGTCCTCCCACTTCATTTTTAAAGCACTCTTGAGGTGAATATTGAACAATAAATACGTGCTTACTAAATAGGCAAGCAATTACATGTTCTGAGAAGAAAGAGCCAAATGTGCCAAAGCATAATTTTCAAACTGCAAGTAGTTTAGTAGTGCTCGAGTATGTGGCCCATATGAGAGAGGCATGGAAGGTGAAATTTCAAAGGTAGATAGTACCAAGATCATGAAAGTTTGCGTATGATACTGTAAAGAGTATAAGCTTTATCCTTGGAGAAATGGGAAGAGATATTCTGGGATTTGAGTTTTATGAAATTCACTGTGTGCTGTGGGAGATGCTCTGTGAACCAAGTGTGGGTCAGTACTGAACTGAAGCAAGGAGGATTTGTCCAGAGGTGATTAAACTGGCTGGGTGCAGTGTCTCACACCTGTAACCCCAACACCTAAGAACTACCAGCTTACCAGGAAATTGTATACCCTGTGATTGTCATACATTACCTAACTCTTTATATAAACATTAGGGTTAGAGATTGTTCCCATTTTATAGTTGAAGAAACTGAGGTTTACAGATTTAAATAACTTATCAAGATCATATAGCTTGTAAGTTGTAGAGCAGAGACTCAAACCAAAGACAGTCTGACAAAAAGCTTTGGCTCCTGCCACCATGCAACGTTGCTTCTTTCTCAACAATCTGTCTAAGTGCCAGACATTCATTTAGAACTCTCCAGGAGGAATCACCATGGGCATAATTTACATATCAGTATGTCTAAGATTGAATTCAACATCATCTTGCAAAACCTTCTAATGTATCTGCCTCTCTTATTCAGAGGCCATTATTCCTAGCAGTCTATTGTACAAATCAGCAGTCTTGAGTGTTTTGGGAAGCCATTCATTTTCTTTCATCCCTGAGCAGCTGGAAACATCTGATCAGTTTCCATCTCTTGCTGATTTCTCTTTTATATTTTATTATTATTATTTTTTTTTGAGACAGAGTTTCACTCTGTCACCCAGGCTGGAGTGCAGTGGCACAATCATAGCTCACTACAGCCTCAAAATCCTGGGCTCAGGTGATCATCGCACCTTAGCCTCCTGAGTAGCTGGGACTACAGACATGCACCACCACACTCAGCCAATTTTTGAATTTCTTTAGAAAGAGGGAGGTCTCACTGTGTTACCCAGGCTGGTCTCAAACTCCTGGTCTTAAGCAGTCCACCCACTTCAGCCTCCCAAAGCAAGATTTTTTGTTTCCTCAGATCTAAATTGTTGTTCCATAGGTTTAAAAGTGAAACAGAAATAGTAGCAGAAAGAAATCCTTGGGAAGGAGCTTAAAGTTTCTATGTCCTCTTGTGTTGAAGTTTTCATTTGTTCATTTTTAATTTTTTCTTCTTGCCTCTGGGAGACTTTGTTTCTTACCTCTAAGCAGGTAACTTAAAGGCAATGTCCGAATAGTCTATGTAAATTTCAGAGTAATTTCAAACTTCTTCTGTAAGCAGGTAACTCAAAGGCAACATCCAAATAGTCTACGTAAATTTCAGAGTAATATCAAAGTTATTCTTTGGTGGTCCATGGTGATCCATTTCAGTAATTTTTCCACTATCAGGTCTTGTCTTTCTCCTCTATTTTTTTGAGACTATGATGGAGAGCTAATTTGGGCACTCCTTTGCTGCTGAGAAATGATTCTACATCTCAACCCAGAGTCATCCAGATGGGTGAAATCCAAGTGCCACTAATCACAAGCGTTAACTTTTTAATTAAACTCTTTGTTAACAATGAGCAGAGTTATCATTAATACAGTGAGTAGCTTCCTGACATGTGCCACATTAAAAATAGGCAGCCATAGCTATTTAAAGCATAATATTGTCTCCTGTGGGAGCAGATGAATTTGTGATTTTTTTGAAATGACAAAATGATTTATCACCTCCCATAAGCACTGCCATCTACCTGGCAGGAATGATACATCCCCTAGCATCCTCCATCCAGTGGGAACAAACACATTTGATGGATAAAAGACTAAGCCACGATTAAGAAAAGGGAAAGAAAACAATTTTATCAAAAAAGTGGGGTTTTTTTTAGCATGTCTTATTAACAAGATGTGTAGCAGAACACGTTTAACCAAACACAGTCATCATTCAAGCCTGTATGTAAATGTCTGTTTAATTTTTTCAGTGTTTTGATGATTTATAGTGCAAGCATCAATGGAAACAAATATAAAGGCTGACTTCAGCTGGGACAAATGACCATTATCAATATCTCTACATAGATGAATCCAAAAGGAGAGTCATATTAAATAGTGAAGTTGCTTGTTCTGACTATATTTGAGAAAGGAAACCTTTGCTGGTAGTAAATGACTGTCTTTTCTTTGCTTTCGCTTACTCTCAATTGCTAACAAATAACTTTCAGTTGAATCTAAAATCCAATGTTCTTAAAGTAAAAAGAGCTTAGGAAACAAAGTTCCTGAAAGAAACTACCTTTGTTGTTGAGTACAGTAAAATACAAATGAGACAGAACGAAAATTGAAGCTGAAAATATCCAGGCACAGAAGGGAAATCAGGAAGTGGCTACCAAGAGAATTAGACACAAGAAAGGAATGTAAAAGATAGACACATCTGTGTGTGCTGGGGCTGGACGCTTACATATTTATGGACTGTTTCAGCTTCCTACCCCACCTGCTGCATAAAAATCTTATGAAGATGAGCTATTTGAGTTCAGTAGGGATTAAAGAAGTGCCACATTATTTCCTATTAATAATAAGTTTAAATAAATCAGAATTATATGAAACTAAATATGCATTTTAGAAACAAACACGATGCAATTTGTCAATACTTTGCCCTGTTCTATGGAATAAGAATCATGAAGAATAGGAATCTGTAGACAGAATAAAGCTGCAAAGGTTATAGAAACTGCATTTGAGATCAAAAAGAAACATGCATATGTTGTTTTTTGTTCTTGTTGTTGTTGTTGTTGTTGTTCTCCCACAGTCTTTTGGTCAAATTAATTTTGAAAATGAAATGCAAATTGGAGACTTTTTAAATTTCTGCAGTAAGACTTGAGAAAAAGGGTCTGTTTCTAGAAGTTTGTCCTTAGTATGCCTGAATGACAGGAAGAGACAAGTAATTTTATAAACCATTTCTGGCCCCAATTTCTCCATATGATTTGGCCCTCCAGATCTTACTTTCTTCAATGTAATTATTGTTGATTTGAAGATATTCTTGACATCAAAGAGCCTAGAGATCCCAGGAAGTTATATACATGTGTATGTGTACATATATATGTGTGTGTGTACATATATATGTGTGAGTGTATATATATATATATATATATATATATATATATATATATATGGAGATAATTTTATTCACAATTCTAATTATACATGAAATATAACATAATTGCTTTGTGAGATATATCTAGACATACGACATACTCATTGTCGAAAAAAAATACCACTAGGATAAAGATTTTCTTTTAGAGTAGGTAGTGATTGAAATAGAAAGACTCATTATTACCACATCTCTGATTTACCTTCTGCCAATTTCTACATATTTCTATTCTGCTAAAGGGCCACACACTTACCTTCATTGATTTCAGGCAGTAGAGTGTATGGAATTTGGGGACAGAGTGTCTGAGTAAGTATCTGGGTCTGATGCCATCTAGCTGATTAAGTGTATAGAATTTGAGGACAGAGTGTCTCAGTTGGTACCTGGCTCTGATGCTGTCTAGCTGCAGGAGCTTGGACATGTTAATCACATTCTCTTCAATATTCTCATATATAAATTGTAGATAGTAATGGAACCCATCTCAGAGTTTAAGTGTAAGGATTAAATGAGTGAATATTGGTAAAACAATGCCAGTATATAGTAAGTGCTCAATTCTTGAAATGATTTATAATTATTTCAGTGGATTTGCACTAAGGAAAACTCTACCATTTTTCAGAACTTATCAAAAAGCAGAGTATCTGATATCTTAACCCAAATAGAAGAGTCCTAATACTACTTGAGGTGTTTAGAGACTCCAAGCCATTCTTGGATTTATTTATGCTAACCACTTATAAACTCATATTTGAAAAATATCTATGAAAGTTCAATTATTTTAGAGTGCTTTATTTGCTGTTATTTACAATAGCCTATATATTCCTCTTATAATTAGTGTTTTGTGAGAACAATAATCAGATACATTCACCTAAACTTTCCAATTTACTAATTCTATAAATAAGTGTTTTTCTTTATTAAATATGATTTAGAATAATAATAAGGGCCAATTACTTCTTGCTGAAGGGCCACCATTCATTCTCAGTATTCCTTTTGCTACTGTGGCCCAAGCAACCCTGGCAGTATTTCACACAGCAAACATTTTTTTTTTCTGTCTGACTCAAATTAACCTTTGCCCTGTATATTTATCTGCAGCCTCCATGTAATCTTGCAAAAACTTTCCCAATAGATACAAATTTGGCATTCTGGGAACATTTCTCAGCTGTATACCTGCTTTATGAGTGGTATGATGATTTTAGAGCAGACAACCATTTATTCATTAGGGTGTCTATCAGCTTGTCCAGTAGTGACCTTGACCTTGTCTTCTTGAAGCATTTTATTTTGGGACTCTTTTCATTATGACACACACAGTGTCATTTGCTGTAATACCTTTATTCACTCTGCTTACAAGCACTTGCAGTTTTGTTGTGAGCTATCTATCGATCTGGTTTGTTTTTATTTTTAATTTAGAGGATCTAAGAGCATAGTTGCTACTAAATCAATGTATTGCACCAATGTAGATACGGATCGAATAATATTTTGCCAAAATGGTAAGTGATGGTTTTGTATCCTTCCCTCCATCCACCAAATTTTTCAAATCTATAGATCACAGCTGCTATCCTCATTCTCTCACAGTCTTTTCATTCCTTTACCCTTGATACTGTGGTGCACTGGCAAAGGTGTTCCGACCCTTCGCCCACTCCCTAATTAGCTAATTCAGTCTTTTCTCTCTCTGACCTATCTTCAGCTTTTGCTTTGTGGACTAATCTGGCCTTTACACTAATTGAATTTTTATTCTTTGTTGAATAAGCTCCCCTTTCCCACATCCTAACTGTGTACATTCTTCCATACTCAATCTTCAGGTCTTTGCTTTCTGTTTCTTAAAAACTCAGAGCTCAGAGTGGCTTTCCAGAAGAACCCAGGAAGAACACACTCCAGCCCAGGGGTCCACATCAGGGGCATCTGTATCTGGGGTCAGGAAACCCAGTCAAGAAGGAGCCCTCCCTACATACTGAGAAATGACTACAAAGACAGTAAATTACAGAATTGAGATTTTTTTTCTTAACATTTTTTTTTAGTTTTAATTTTTGTTGTTAAATATTAGGCATATATATAATGGGACACATGAAATATTTTGGTAAAGCATTTATGAATAATAATCACATCATGGAGAATTGGGTATCCATCACCTCAAGCATTTATGTTTTGAGATAAACAACCAATTATACTCTGTTAGCTATTTTAAATTAAACAGTTAATTATTATTGACTATAGCCTCACAGGGTTTTTTTGTTATTTCAAAAATAAAGGAATGAAGAAAGAAGAATCAAACAATATAGATTATATACACATGCATTTAATAATTAGTTAAATACACGACTAATTTTGGCCAGGTACAACAGCTCATGCCTGTAATCCCAGCACTTTGGGAGGCTGAGGCGGGTGGATCACCTGAGGTTGGGAGTTTGAGACCAGCCTGACCAACATGGAGAAACCCTGTCTCTACTAAAAATACAAAAATTAGCCAGACATGGTGGTGCATGCCTGTAATCCCAGCTACTCAGGAGGTTGAGGCAGGAGAATCTCTTGAACCCAGGAGGCAGAGGTTGCTGTGAGCCGAGATCATGCCATTGCACTCCAGCCTGGGCAACAAGAGCGAAACTCAATCTCAAAACAAAGCAAACAAAAAAAAACCCACTAATTTCAAAATGTACAAGTCATAAAACATTAAGAATCTCCATTATACATTCATTAAGTCTACACATCTTGCTTTCTGCTATTTTTGCTTTTGAGACCTCTTTAAACGTTGATATCTTCGTCTGTAAAATGTGGTAACAATGTTTGCCTTGGGTGATTCATAGGGCTATTCTGAGATCTGAAAAAAATAATGCATATAGAAGTTATTTGAAGCTTCTGTTCTGTAGATATCAAGCATCAAAGATATTTTAGCTTTTGAAAGAGAGCAGGAGAGCTAAACAGTTTATCCCTGGTAGTCTAGTGGTTAGGAAAACACACCACACACACACACATACACACAAACACACACCCCAGTTTGGAATATTAGAGAGATCTTTATATTAAGTAAGGGTCAAGAGTTATTGGCCTAATAACTGCTCTGTCAAAAGCTGGGCTATTTCTCTCCAGTTAATTCACTTCTCTGATCTCCAACTTTCTTATGTGTAAATCAAAACAGAGGCAGGGACTTGAACAAGAAGAACAATTAAGGTCCCTGCCAACTTGAATTTCTATTACTCTCTCCTATTTACCTACCATGGTAGTTGGTATGACCTCCAATTTCATACTATTTCTTTTCCACTGTACCATTGGCCACAGTTGAAAACCACGCTCGGTCTCTCTTGATGGTTTACCTCAGACAATAGTCATTGCTGCTTGAATTTTCCTAGAAGAATGCCATTAAAAACAATCTTGATTTTTTTTAAGAAAGAAATGAAAAATCAATTGAGCCAGACGTTTACTTTGGAAAACAAATGGTTTGTTATCTGTAAGTGTTTTAATTGGCAAGGCAGAAAGCTGCCTGTTTACCAAACGGACCAAAAAAATGACTAGTCTGTGTATTTTCCTACTTTTTGCTCTTTAGCCATCAGGGTTATTTTAGGACAGAGAGCTCTTCCTATTTCAGTCTTCTGCTAGTTATCAGAACAACTTTTGTCAATATGTCAGTTGCTTTAGCCTTTATACTTCTAATAATTAGCACTATACACTGCATATATTAGGAGCTTAATAAAATGATCGTTTATGGTAATAATAGCAAATATTCATAGAGTGTGTAATATGTACAGTTCTAGGCACTTTCATGTGTTTAATGAGGTAAGACTTACAATAGTCCTGGGAGATGGGTACTATTATGTTTGTGTATTTCACAAATAAGCAAACAGAAACACAAAGGGATTAAATCATTGTCTTTATCTTCTTACTTACATGATGAGATTCTTAAGTTACTCCTCATCAATCAACTATTTTTTGAAATACCTATTTCTATATTCATTACCACTGATATATAGATAACCTTAAATTTTATTTTAAATTTTAATATGGGATTCCATATATTTTTCCTGTTCATATCAATTTCATTCTCTTCACCAGTTGTCTGCCTCATAAAAGCCATTTCTGCTTAGAATAACGCATTGTCTGGATCTTCAGGATAATGTTCCTTTCAACTTTTCAACTTTTTCTAACATAATTGTAAGATTACATATAGATTGCATATTTAATTTTCTCATTTTTTTATATAAAGTCAATAAATAAAATATATAAGGTACTCATGCCCCTGTTGCATTTCTTCCTGGGTAATTTGAAGCCCCGTCTCAAATCCAATGATGAGTGTTCCATTTTCAGCTCCACACTCTACTGAGGTAGAAAATTTCCTATCCATGCTATTTTGTCCCCTGATTTGCTGAACTGGTAAATAACAGGTATTGAATTTTCTAAGATACAGAGCACAGCCTGAGCTATTAGGAGAATTTCTCCCTAACTGCATCCCCCTTTACAGTGCCTTTAGCTGTAAGAACTAAATCAGACAGTCGTCATATGCCCCAGTCAGTACCTTTGGGCCGTGTTTCTCTCTGGGGGTTTATTCCACTGAAAGGACATAGAGAGAAAAGTACACCCTTGTAGTAACAAAATGACTTTTTTGTTCTCTGCTAGGCACTGACTCTGAACTTGTGACTAAAGTCTGGTTATACAGACAATATGTCAGAGCTCGGGTATGTTTGTCTTAATCTGCCAGATTTATGATTTGGAGAAATTTCTCCCAGACAATATTGATTTTAAGTTTTCTTCTTTTTCTCTGTGACATTCTGGGTTATACAGCCACATCAGCACAATTTAATTGAAAATGTGTAAATTTTATGACCAAAAACCAAACCTATTCAAACCTGTAGACAAAGCAGTGACCAAGGTAGATGGTACTACTGCCTTCCTGGACCTTAGAGGGTGAGAGGAGAAATACACATTTAATGAGTCACTCTGTATGCATGATGAGTTTAATGGGAGTAGAAGAACAGCATCCTAGGCATGTTTACAGTCATCAGGCACCATGTTAAAATGCCCAGAGTACCTTATGCACTACCTTCACCTTTCTCCATGTGAAAAGTAGTTTTGTTTTATTTTGACTTGACTTGCTTTTGAGAGTAAAGAGCGATTGTCATCACTTGAAAGCATGGAATATTTTCTCCCATAAGTATCCAATCTAATAAAATAGCATGTGTCAAAATACCAGTGGCGTTAATTCTAGCAGGCTTTTCCACTTCCTTACATTTTCATAAAAGAGAAACCTAGTTAGCCATAGTTCTCATCGTTCCTCAAATAACTATTTTACAATTGGATTTCCTTGTTTAATTATGTTTTCCCTAAGTTCAGCCTGTTATTTTTGCATGCAGAAAGAGGTAGTAGATACTTCAGTTACTTCAACATCATTCTTCCTAACACACTTAAGAATTTTTGTTTTGTAACAACCCCATCAAAAAGTGGGCGAAGGATATGAACAGACACTTCTTGAAAGAAGACATTTATGCAGCCAACAGACACATGAAAAAATGCTCATCATCAGTGGCCATCAGAGAAATGCAAATCAAAACCACAATGAGGTACCATCTCACACCAGTTAGAATGGCAATCATTAAAAAGTCAGGAAACAACAGGTGCTGGAGAGGATGTGGAGAAATAGGAACGCTTTTACACTGTTGGTGGGACTGTAAACTAGTTCAACCATTGTGGAAGTCAGTGTGGCGATTCCTCAGGGATCTAGAACTAGAAATACCATTTGTTCCAGCCATCCCATTACTGGGTATATACCCAAAGGATTATAAATCATACTGCTATAAAGACACATGCACACGTATGTTTATTGCAGCACTATTCACAATAGCAAAGACTTGGAACCAACCCAAATGTCCAACAATGATAGACTGGATTAAGAAAATGTGGCACATATACACCGTGGAATACTATGCAGCCATAAAAAAAGATGAGTTCATGTCCTTTGTAGGGACATGGATGAAGCTGGAAACCATCATTCTCAGAAAACTGTCACAAGGACAAAAAACCAAACGCTGCATGTTCTCACTCATAGGTGGGAACTGAGCAATGAGAACACATGGACACAGGAAGGGAAGCATCACACACTGGGGCCTGTTGAGGGATAGGGGCGGGGGGAAGGATAGCATTAGGAGATACACCTAATGTTAAATGACGAGTTAATGGGTGCAGCACACCAACATGACACCTGTATACATATGTAACAAACCTGCACGTTGTGCACATGTACCCTAAAACTTAAAGTATAATTTTAAAAAAAAAGAATTTTTGTTTGGTAAAAAGGAAAACAAGTGACAGATGAAAATTAACAAGAATATAATTACAGAGAACAAACCAAGGAAAACAGCCTTAACTGCTATTGTCAGAAACGATACATCTATTAAACACCATGGCTAACACCTAGATGAACAAAATAAGTACTTCAGGTTCAAAAACTGAGATTCTAAATTCATTTTCCAATATATAAATGGATTCAATATGACACATACTCCTTCATTTTTATTTTTTAAATATCCAAACAAGTAGCATCTGTTAATGTAATCACAGAGTATTTTAATATGAAAGAGTATAATTATTATGTACTATTCTAAGTCCTAGGAAGAAAAAAAATAATTGAATAAGACTGTTTTCATATATTCTTGCTATTTACTAGGTACTGTTCAATACTAACACTATTTCGTATTTATAATTGAATACACATAAATTAACTTGTTATTTGAACAAAATGCATACAGCAAAATCAAAGCTTGAATGGAAGTTAAAGGACCTTTAAGATGAAAGTCTCCACTGAGGCTCTCCTTCACCTGATCTTTAAGGGAGATTAGGAAGCACAGTAATTTCATTACAGAACAGCAGGTTGCAGAAGCAAAAAGCAGAAAGATAACTCATTCTTTTATTCACCATTTGTTATTTAACAAAATTAAATACTATTTTCGAGTTTAATATACCGTCATTCTTTTTGAGGAATCCAAAGGACTCTCCCACTCTTAAAACGTTATGTATTTGTAGCATTTCTAAGATGTAAAGAATATAAAGCAGTGTGTGCAGACCAAGGTATTAAGAGTTTTAGTGATTTACTCAAGGTCATCCAATTATTCAAGGAAAGAGAAAAGTCAGGTTTTTAAATTTTCAACTGCTCATGTTTTTGCACCATTTTGTGCATTTCTGTATATAACTTTGGAAAACATGATCCTGATTATGATTCATCAGGGTGACTTGGCCTATCACCCATGCCAATTCCATAACAAAAGCAGTAAGAGCAAGAAAAATGAATCAAAAATCTGAAAACTCAGAGATCACCCAGGTAAGTGGGATGTGGAGGCCAAGAATTTGTTCTAGAAAAAGCCAAGGTAAAAAGCTTCAAGAGAAGAGTCCATTTTTCATTAATCATAGAATGTTGACCCTCAGAAAAGGAGTATACCATATCCATGGATGGCTTGAGTGGCCCTGTAGTGGGATTTTTTGTAATTGCTAGATTTCTATATTTTATTTTATTTATTTTTATAGATTTAGGGAGTACAAGTGCAGTTTTGTTTCATGGATATACTGCATAATGGCAAAGTCTAGGCTTTTAGTTTAACCGTCACCCATATAATGGACATTGCACCCAATTGGTAATTTTCCATCCCTCACCCCTCTTCCACCCTTTCATATTTTTGAGTCTCCAGTGCCTATTATTCCAGTCTCTATGCCCATGTGTACAAATTATTTAGCTCCCACTTATAAGTGAGATCATGTGGTATTTGACTTTCTTTTTCTCAGTCATTTCACTTAGTATAATGGCCTCCAGGTTCATCCATGTTGCTGCAAAAGACATGATTTCATTTTTTCTTATGGATGAGTAGTATTCCATGGTATATATGTGTGACATTTTCCTTATCCAGTCCTCCACTGAAAGACACTTAAGTTGATTCCATGACTCTGCTATTGTGAATAGTGCTGCAGTGAACATACAAATGCAGGTGTCTTTTTTTAATGTAATGGCTTCTTTTCCTTTGGGTAGATAGCCAGTAGAGGGAGTGCAGAATCAATTAGTGGTTCTAGTTTTAGTTCTTTGAGAAATTGGAGCATGATTTTTAATGGGTTGTCAGAAGATAGAGCAGAACCCAGGTTGCATGATAGGGGCTGCACTCAGCTTCCACAGAGCTCCCACAACCCTCAGACAGACAGCATCCGGCTCTCAAACCCTTCATCTGGGAAACAGGTGAACTGCTTTCAGACCATTTCAGAATAATTCACTTGTTAGGGTGGAGAAATGGGAGTTTTTTTTTTCCCAGATATTGTTCTGGACAACAGGTGGATATGGTTAAAATGTTCTGTCCTGCTGGGCTAGCTTTGACCAGTGTTTTTTCGGCTAGACAGAACAGGCCTTTTGGGGAACTTTTATTGGCCACACCCATACACATTTCTGGGTTGTGGCCTTTTCTACTTGCCAGGCAGGGACATACAAGAAACAAGGAAAAGGCAAACAAACAAGCAAAAACAAGAGGGAATTCATCCCTAAGTGGTTCATTGATTCCTGAAGTCCCTGAACAATTTGCCTTCTCTTCTCTACCTTCAGAGTCTTCCATAGGTGACTTTCATATTTTTTCCAGGGTTTTTTTTTTCTTGTGATCAGCTGCAAGAATAAAATGAAATGCCTTTACACCATCTAAGACTCTAATGTCATAGTATAAAATAAAATAAAATAAAGAAACATGGTGACTAGTTCCATCTACTTGCTAATTTAGATTGTTAATTTAATGATTAATTAGATCTAATTTAATTTCTTTTGCTTTGTACCTTTCTTGTGACAGTGGTTTCAAAATTTTATATATTATCTAATCATCAGAATAATCATGCACTCCAGGGATTTTTGATTCAGTAATTCTCGGGCAGGCTCAGGAGATCTCTTTTTTTTCCTCCTTCTGTTTTTAATTGCTTTCCTAGTAATTCTGATGATGAGTGTAGTTGTAAATTGCTGGCTTCAAGTGTTAATTCAATTTAATGGCCTTTGTATATGTCAAAAGCAAGCTTGTTTATTAAGTTAAAGGCTTCACAGAATAACATCTTTCTTTAAATAAATGGAGCCCCACGTCTAAGGAAGGAAAAAGATGTAACTCCTGTATTACTGATACAGTTTTTAAATTTGTATTGTTTCTATATTGAAAAAATGTGTTTTAATATATTTATTATAAATAATTTAAAAATTCAGAAGCTTATCCAGTTTAAACCGAAAACCTCAGAAATAACCAAAATTAATATGTTTGTGTATCTTTACCTTTAAAAGTGGGATCATACAGTTTGTTAACCATTGGAATGCTTATTTTTGTACTTTTTATCATGACCATTTTTTTGCATTTCATTAGAAATATTATCGTCAAATAATATTAATCATTCACCTATCATCAAAAATTTAGGTTTAAACCAAAGGCCAATTACCTTGAATCTTAGCAGATCAAGAGACACTTATTAAGATTGATTATATTTATAACCTTTGTAAGAGAAGAAAATAACTTTGTCCTCTACCCATCTTAGGTTCATTAACTAGGGCTCTGCAAATTAGACTGACAAAATATAGATTAACAAGACAAAAAACAAACAGAAGTTTATTAACGCATGTATACATGTAGGAGAGCTCCGTGATGAGTAACTCAGAGGTGGTTAGAATTTAGGCTTACATAGCATCCTAACAAAAGAATAATACATTTACAGAGAAGTGACAAGACAAAACAAAACAAACAAACAAACAAACAAAACGGATTTTGAGCTTCTGTGGTGGAAAGTTGTGGGACAAATATAGAGGGAAACTAATGGTAGATGAGGGCTAGCTAATAAAGTTTCTTTGCGTAGCATCTCAGTGCCATCTTTCTTCCGGTGATAAGGTCGTTTTCCCATTTCTCGTACCAGAAGCAGAGCAGGGGTAGGACCTTCCTAAGGGGAATTTATGTTCTGTTTTCAGGCAGATAAAGGGAATGGTAGAGTTCATTCTCTGTGGTTTTTTTCTCAATTGCCTCAAAGTGATCCTTTTTCCAAAGTGGCACATTTTAGGGTGACATAACTCAGATCCCCTTCACCTTCCTCCCCCAAGACATCGCACCATTTCACACTACTGATACAGCAGCTTCCCTGAAATTCTACTAAAACGTGGGCATTCAGGGCTTTAACTTAAACATTAACTTCTCTATGCTTTTGCTCTCAAAGCCGTCAATTACCACTCAGGATTTCTGATTCCATTTTGCAGAATACATTTGCTCATCTAAATTAATCCTGTCCTCTCTCCATTTTCCCAAACTCTTTCTTTGTGTCCCTTGGATCTCCGGCTCTGTGGTTAACTAACTGTCCTGTAGCCTTGAGATCTTTTCTAATGATTTTTTTTTTTTTTTAATTCCTTGCCGTAACAGAAAACAGGCTGTCCCTGGAGGACAGTGCTTTCGCTGTGGCCCTCTCAGTGCAAGCTGGTTATATGTTCACAAGTCAAATGGTCGGAATTCAAACGCAGGAGGGAGATAGGTGTCCTCTTCATCCCTCCTTGCTTCCCCCAAAACTTTCGTCCTCCCTCCTCTTTCAAAGCCACAAGCTTCTTTGAGGCATGTGCCATCTGGCTACCCTGTTTGCTACTCCTCATAGTTCCTGGCATCAGCCTCCTCACATTTATTGATTTGTATCTTTTACCTGTATTTATTTCCATTCCTGTAATCATTCTTAGTCACCTAACCATCCATGAGTTTATCTTCCAAATGCTCTTGGTCCTTTCAATTCTCTGACCTCTCCTTAATTAGCTTGTCTTCTATACTTTCAGATCTTTTCATTCTTTTTGTCACATTCTGGACGTTGTCATCACCTACAGCTATAGTATTTCCATTTCAGATATCACTGTTTCTGACTATAATGCTGTATACTACTAGGCTATGGAATCAGTCTAGTACTTTCACTGCAGTATTCCCTGTTCTTATTCAGATTCTCAAACTACTGACCTCAAACCCATTTTTACATATTTCATAATTTTCCTCATCTTCCTTTACCTCCATTCTTACCAAACTTAAATTCCATGATCCATTATTGCGAGTATTCTCTTGGGAATATTGCCAATTTCTTTTTACTTTTCTCCCTGAATCATGTTTATTGGGAAAAACTTTACTTCGAAATGAACCCAACTACCTATCTTTTCTATAACTGCATTAGAGCAGCTAAAGTAGATGGAGAAAATTTTAAATGCTGGTAGGTAGCTGGTAGCATAAGCCTTCATCATTTCTCCCTTTCCAGACTCACCAAAACAATATCAAAAAAGAATAAAGCCATATAAATCCACAAGGGCAGGGCAGTGAAGAATGAACAAAAAAAGTTAATAACATTTTAGAAGATGGTGGAGTGACTTATCTGAGTGGAAGAGCTAGAACTTGTGTACCTGCAGAAGAAGCTATCAATGAGGAGCAAATGCATTCACTTTACAGACACCCTAGGAGGCCCAGGAATTAGAGGTAACCTACACCTCACACTGCTGGATGAAACACTAAATGGGACAGAAATTGCTTGCTACCCTGTAAGGATTCTTTGATATCCAAACTCCAGCTGCACCCCAGAAGGCCCCACCCCCAGCACTGCCTCTCAATTAAGGAGATTCATTCTCTAGAAAAATTGTGCCAAAAACTTTGGACTGAGGCCAGGTTCTGTGGCTCACACCTATAATCCTAGTGCTTTAGGAGGCTGAGGCGAAGGATTGCTTGAAGCCAGGAGTTTGAGACCAGCCTGGGCAACATATGGAGATCTCGTCTCTATTTAAAAAAGGAAAAAAAAATATCTGGACTCAGTAACAGCTTACTTAGCAGGGGCCAGCTATGAGGTACTGTTCCAGTGTTTTAGTCCTTTGGGGCTGCTGTAACAAAATACCACATGATATACTTTGGATCTGTGTCCCTGCCCAAATCTCATGTTGAACTGTAATCTCCAATGCTAGAGTTGGGGCCTGGTGGGAGGTGTTTGGGTCATGGGGACAGATTCTTTGTGGCTTGGTGCTGTCTTCACAATAGTGAGTTCTCATGAGAGTTGGTTATTTAAAAGTGTGTGGCACCTCCCTGCCACTCTCTCTCTCTCTCTCTCTTGCTTACCACTGCTTGCTTACCCCTGCTTTCACCATGTAATGTGCGGGCTTCCCCTTTGCTTTCTGCTATGATTGAAAGCTCCCTGAGGCTTCACCAGAAGCTGAGCAGATGCAGCACCATGCTTTCTGTACAGTCTGCAAAACTGTGAGCCAATCAAACCTCCTCTCTTTATAAATTACCCAGGGTATTTCTTTATGGTAATGTAATGATGGCCTGATACACCATAGAAGGGGTAACTTATAAACAACACAAATTCTTTTTTCATGGTTCTGGAGGCTGAGAAGTCCAAGGACAAGTTGCTGGCAGATTCAGTGTCTGTTGTGAGCAATCTCTGGTTCATAGATGGTGCCTTTTTGCTGTGTCTTCACATGATGGAAGGTGCAAGGCAATCCTCTGGGGCCTCTTTTACAAGGGCATTAATCCCATTAATGAGGGCTCCACCCTCATGCTTTCAACACCTCCCAAAGACCCCACCTCTGAATATCATCCAATTGGTAATTAGGTTCTCAAGAAATAAATTTAGGGAGATACAAACGTTCAGACCATAGCACCCAAGAATTTCCCATTTTCATATTTATTGGAGAGAAACCTGTTTCATTTCCTCCCTGGTTCCTGGGACACCAGCAGTCACTCTTAGATCTTCCCCATGCCAAACTCCCACTGTCACCACAGAGTGAAAGATGGAAGTATTTCTCAATGGGGAGGCAAAATGACACCAGAATGAAGCCTCGAAAATTCTATAATAGGGCATGCACCAAGAAAGGGAGGTTGGTGACCTAAAACATAGCCCTTCAGTCACCCAATCCAGCCCACGCTAGACATCCAGTGATCATTTTTTCAGGGCTTTAGTCATCAATGCACCCAGAAAGCCGAGGATAACCAAATGTGGGAGAACGCCACTAATAAGAAAGTCAGATAAAACTAGTAAATCAACAGATTCTGATAGAAAAATATAACCCTGATGAAACAGAAGTGACATAGAGAGCTGAAGAGAAACATTTAATTCTATTTAATATGTGCAGAGTTAGAATATATACCTGGAGTCTGTGAAAAAGTAATGACTAGAGGAAAAAAGGGATTTAGGAAATTATAATACAACACTCAAAAATTTTAGACATTGACAAAAATACTGGAATATAAATTCAACCCCTTCTCCTCCAAAAAAAGAGTATAAAGGAAAGGAAAATATGGAAAAAAAAGAAAATTTAAGGGTCAATTCAGAGGGTTCAATATCCAAATAGTAGAAATTCCAGGAAGAGAGAACAGAGAAAATGGACCAGGGAGAAAATGGTAAAATAAATAATGAAAAATTTCCCCAGATTGGTGAAGGCCTCTAACTTCCAGGTACAATAAATTAGGAAAGATTTATTCCAAGGCCCTCCACAGGGAAATTTCAGGGAAACTGAGATGGCAGCACTATCCATAAAGATTATCTGTGAATGTAACTGTCCACATAAAAAGATTCATGAATACTGAAAGAATCACCGGAAGCTGGAAGATACTGGAGTGATCTTCTTAGAAACTGGAAGATGATAGAGTTATCTAGAAGCTGGAAGATAATGGAGAAGCTCTCTAGAAGCTAGAAGTTAATGGAGAAGCTATCTAGAAGCTAGAAGATTTGTGTTCATTAGATTAAATAATTTTTGAACCTGAGTTCCAAAGCCAACCAAACTAAAAATGGACTATGAACATAGTATTTGAAACAAACAATCTTTAGAAATTAACCTCCCATGCATCCTGTACTCTAGCAAAATGAGGGAGGAAACTGAGGAAGAGGAAGACCTGGGATCTGGGACCCAGGGCTGATGTTCGAGAGAAAGCCTACAGGTTGTTAAGGGGAAGACCCTGAGAGCAAGCCTTTCAGGTTGGAGCAAAGGGACAGGGAGTTTTGGAAGTCTTCTTCTAAAACATTTGTAAGTTTCCCTTTCCTAAAGGAAAAGGGTACTCATAGTTTATCTAATAATTTAATTTAGTACAAAATTGTGTTGAGAAGTTGTTGGAGAGTTTAGGAATTAGCCATAAAGCCTAGAGAACTGAGCAAATGAAAATAAATTAGATAATTAACTCCAGAAAAAAATTAAAAAATAAGTGATCATTAATCCTCATAACGCTATTGGCTCAGAAGTAAACCATACTATTTATGTAGTAATAATGTTATAACTTCTGAATATGAATTTAATAATATCAGGTGGTAGAGAGAGGCTGCTTGGAGGCAGTGAGTGAATAAGAAACTGCTGATTATATAATACAGAAAAATTTTTGGTTATAACAATAAAATAAAGAACCTCACGCATGTTTATTATTTATCAAAATGGAGGCTCACACTAGAAGAAACAAAGAAATCCAAATTCTTCGTCATCAGAGCTCAAGACTTCTAGTGCAACTTGAATTTTTGAACAATATGCATAAAATAATTAAAATAAAGTATAATGCCCTCTTCCCTCGCACGTGCACACACACACACACACACACACACAAACACACACACACACACATAGTTATAACCTTAAATAGGCATTCAGCACTGCCTTAAAGTTTCACTACATGTTTCTAGTTTGAATGCTTTCTGGAAGTTAAAAATTACTCCAAATGTATGCTTTCTTCTCATCCCCTCAATCCTCCCACTCCACATTTCTGCGAATTATTTACCCATGAATTTTCTTAAGGGATTCATTGTCAAAGAATTCCCAAGTTGTTCCATCAGCAAACCCATCAGCCAGCCTTCACCTGTTGTGGTGATCCATGTCTTCCCTCAGAAAAGACCCTTTGCCTCCAACACTCGGAAACCCATTCCTCCTTCTCTTCCCAAGAATTTTCTTTGTGGTCTTGCTCTCTTTTTCAGACACTAGTCACTCTACTGAGTTGTCTGCTGAATTATCAACAAGCAGATTCACATGGCCACCCTAAAACAAGAAAAACACAAAACAACCCTCACTTGTCCCTACTCCTATTCCAGCTTCCAACAGATTCGTCTTATTCATTTCATGATAAAACTTCTTGAAAGAGTTGACCACACTGCTGTTTCCAACTTGGTCCTCACACTGGCACTACAACACCCCTGACTCCACCAACAACCTAGTTACTTATATCTTTGCATATTGTCTTTCTCAACACATACACACACTCCCTTCAATAAAATGTAAACTTCGTGAAGTCAGGGAGTTTATCTTTTGTGCTGCTATCCTGATTCTTAATACATAGCACCTAGCTTTCAATAAATATTTTTGGTCACTATAATATCTTTATTTCTCAACAAAACAATCATTTTTTTTTTTTTTTTTGAGATGGAGTCTTGCTCTGTTGCCCGGGCTGGAGTGCAGTGGCACCATCTCGGCTCACTGCAAGCTCCGCCTCCCGGGTTCACGCCATTCTCCTGCCTCAGCCTCCCAAGTAGCTGGGACTACAGGCACCCGCCACCACGCCTGGCTAATTTTTTTATTTTTATTTTTATTTTTAGTAGAGACAGGGTTTCACCATGTTAGCCAGGATAAGACAATGATTTTCTAAAAGATATTTTAGCATAAAATGTCTAGTACACACTGTGGAATGTACAATATGAGGACTACTTGAATAAATTTTAAAATCTAAACTTTAAAACCCCTTCTATTTAGTATAAATATGGAATGTAAATCCCATGCTGATATACATTTATTATTTTGCACCAATCTGTGTGTATGTTACATATGTAAATATAACATGCTACAAAAATAGCTAAATATTGGCCAGGCACGGTGACTCACACCTGTAATCCCAACACTTTGAGAGGCCAAGGTGGGTGGATCACCTGAGGTTAGAAGTTCGAGACCAGCCCGACCAACATGGCAAAACCTCATCTCTACTAAAAATATAAAAATTAGTCAAGTGTGGTGGCATGCACCTGTAGTCCCAGTAGCTCAGGAGGTTGAGGCAAGAGAACCACTTGAACCGAGGAGGCGGAGGATAGAGTGAGCTGAGATGGCACCACTGCACTCCAGCACTCCAGTCTCGGTGACACAGCGAGACTCCGTCTCAAAAAAATAAATAATAAATAAATATTTATCGCTACAAACACCACCAATACATGCTACGTATCCATTGCCTAAAAATTAGAATTTTAGTGTCCATTTGTTTCCTGGAAAATGTGGTTAGAATGCACAGGAAATAATGAAAATTCTATACATTTTTAATTTAACAGAAAATTCCTGTTGCTCTGTAGATGGGATGGGGCAAAATCACTTGGTACCAGGATTTATTGTGACAGAAACTGCTGAACCCTAAGCAGAAGATAAGGCAACCTTTCTTTGGTAGCAATCAGCAATCATCTCTTGCTCTTTTCTTTTTTTTTCATTTTTTCTTTTTTCCAATTTTTCTCTTGCCCTAACCAACTAGAGTGTCCACAGGCCAGGTGGTAAATGTCCTATTGTCCTTAAAACTTATGAGACTATTACAACATGAAATAGTTCCTAGGAGACTCATTTTTCTTCCATTGTTAGCCATGCCACCCTATTCTTATTCCAGAGAGTCCACATCTCTGTCACCTCCAGCCGCATCTTCACAGGTGTTACACATTAAAGACCATCATTTTTCATTTTGTCCAAGGGTGTGAAGATTTCAGAGATCATTAAATCATCTAACAACAAAGATACATAAACAGTGGAATTGCTCTTAAATCTCTCTCTCTATATATATAATATTATATTACTACCAGCTCTTTAGACTCTTTTATAGGAGATTATCTACTGCATAGATCAACTTTCAGGTTGATCTATGACTTTCTAGATGTGTTATATTTGATTGATGCAACAGAGATATATAGCTTTTTTTTTTTTTTTTTTGTATTTTGTTTTTTGAGGCAGTCTCTCTCTCTCACCTAGGCTGGAGTGCAGTGGCAACATCTCAGCTCACTGCAACCTCTGCCTCCTGGGTTCAAGCAATTCTCCTGCCTCAGCTTCCCGAGTAGCTGGTATTACAGGTGCACACCACCATGCCCGGCTAATTTTTGTATTTTTAGTAGAGAAGGGGTTTTGCCATGTTGGCCGGGCTGAAGTCGAACTCCTGACCTCAGGTGATCTGTCTGCCTCGGCCTCCCAAAGTGCTGGGATTACAGGTGTGAGCCACTGGAGCCGACCAATATATATCTTTTTGAAACCTATCAGTTAGCCTTCATCTTTTTAAAAGAGTACATATAACCTGAGAATTACCTGTTTATTAAACATTTTTGAGATAATTCACCAGTAAATTGATGGAGGCCAGAAAATATCTTAAGAGACTCTTCATTAATAGGAAAACAGTTTTGATTTTACTCATTTTATATGTTTAGAAGAGCTTATATAACATGAGGATTATTTATTCACTAAGAGTTTGAGGAAATTCTTAAGTACAGTGCTCTTTGGTGGAAATATTATTGGAGGTAGTCTGTTGATAACTTAGGACATTCGATTTTCTGCTATATTTTTACTTCTCTCCCACAAGGTCCTCTGCTTTTTATACAAATTTATTTGCCTTTGGTCGGGCGCAGTGGCTCACACCTGTAATCCCAGCACTTTGGGAGGCTGAGGAGGGCAGATCCCGAGGTCAGGAGATCGAGACCATCCTGGCTAACATGGTGAAACCCCATCTCTACTAAAAAACAATACAAAAAAATTAACCGGGCATGGTGGCGGGCGCCTGTAGTCCCAGCTTCTCAGGAGGCTGAGGCAGGAGAATGGGGTAAACCCGGGAGGTAGAGCTTGCAGTGAGCCGAGATCGCGCCACTGCACTCCAGCCTGGGTGACAGAGTGGGACTCCGTCTCAAAATAAATAAATAAATAAAATTTTTTGCCTTTTCCTTATATGATTAGAACTGTATAGTGAGGGAAGAGGCAGTGTTCACTAAATGCTGCAGCACCATATACTCTTATATTCAGATTGCCAGTAATTTAGTTAAGATGTTCACATCTATAAATGACACTGTTTTCAGATTTTCTTCTGTGCATAAGATTTTTTGAGCTTCTATTACTAGGCAAATATTGGCTTATTTTCCAAATGTATAGCATGAAGATTACCTTTTCCTGAAACTTGGAAAGAACAAACAGCCAAATAGCCTAGATTGAAGCATGTGGTAAGAATTTTTCAGTATCATAAATATTATTGAACTATCATGGATTTCCACAGTTTCTGTTACTTTTTTATGATTTATAATGTCTCTTTAAAATCATTCATTTTGGTCAGGTTTTCAGATTTCTATTGATATATCTATTTTAATATATGTACATAATATTTAAGTACTTTTATTATACTTACAAATATATTTTAAATATATATACATAATTTATATGCGTGTGCATGTATGTATCTGGGTGCATGTGTGTGTGCATAAGGTTTGGGTAGTAAAAAATGCAATAAAGAGAATTAGGGCAAGCATATGTCCGAAAGAGATGGGGAAGAGATGATGGCAGTGGCCTATCTTAGACTTGTTGACTAAGACATCTCTGAGAGGGTATAATTTGAGTTAAGACCTCAATTCCATGAAAGCGCAAGATAGTCTAAGATTTGGATAGAGTATATCTGTCACCGGAAAGAGCAAACATGAAGTCACTAAGAAAAGGATAAGCTTAGTATATTTAGGGAATGGCGTAACCTCATCTCCAGTGAGTAAGTTCAGAGGCCAGAAAACACATGGTTTGATAGGATATGATGCCTACAACCTAGTGCAAAGCCTAGCAAATAGAAGGTACTCAATGATTACTCGGTAGCCAACATGTTCAGAGTTTACACTTTTTATCTCCATCTGATGGAAAGCCATTGAAAAATTTCCTGTTTTAGTTGAGCAAGTAGAGAACCTCCTTGTTTTCCCAAGAGGTCAAAGAGAGTCTTAGAGCCTCATAGATTCTCAGCCTGGCCCCTCACAGATTCTGCAGTTGGTAGAAATTCCTTCCTTCCAGAGCCCAGCAATTCATTGCTCATTCTTTCTAATTTCAACATTCCCATTTTTGTTTATTTGTGTGCTTTTATGTATATTTCAAGTGATAAAGAGAAAACATGAATAAGATCTTACTGGAAATAAGAGGCCAGAATATACATTTGAAAGGAAAAATTTTTCAGACTTCCTATGAAAAGAGGAGAAAAATTTCAAAAACCTGTTTCTTGGAAGGACTACACTCCACAGCAAAAATTTAATGCCTTCACCTTCTTCACCTTAAAACAAGACTGGTTTCTATTGACTTGCAGCCATTTTCAATTGCCCAGTTTCTGAATTATTTAGTTTCCTCTCTATTTCTTCTTCCTTTTTTTTTTCTATCCAGCTCCAGGGAAATATTACTTCATAACAGCTTGAAAAAAAGGAAAGGCAGGAGAAATAGAAGCTCAAAACACCAACTTCAGGACATTTTTTTAAAAAAACTTTTTTTTAGTATCATCTCAGCCATAACATCATGCCATCAACCTGTTTGAACAAAGAGGGAAAAGAAGAACACTTTTTATCTGCTGCATTTCTACTCAAGTAATTAAAGCTATTTCTACTGTACTGTAATAATTTTGAAATAATGTTGAAATGTGCTTCCTTCCTACATTTGCAATTCTATGCAACTTGACTACCAATTCAAATGAAAATTTCAATAAAAACCACACAAGAGCACATGATTTGTGTTTTCATATTATAATCTCCTAAGGACAGAATTTGATAATATATAAACTGCCTTTTATGAAGAACTGAAATAAATTTACCATTTCACTAATATTCACATTGTACAATGACAAGCAGACAAGCAGTTCAGAGGCCGTGAATTTACTACTTACAAAGCCATTGCTCTCTGAGCTTCAATTTCCTCTGTAAATTGGGAATAACATTTAACCTTTCACAGGGATGTTCTAAGGCAGTGGTTCTCAAAGTGTGTACCCCAGACCAGCGGAGGCAGCATTACTTGAGAGTGTTAGAAATGAAATTATTGGGCCACCCCAGACTTAATGAATCAGAAACTCTGGGGAGAAGAATAAATAATCTGTGTTTTAACAAACTTTCCAGATGATTCTGATGCATGCTAAAATTGTAAGTGATTATTTTAATTATTAAATGAGATAATATATGTACTCCAAAAAAGTGCTTTGTTAACCGTAACATGTTGTCCAAATGTTAACTACTGTTACTGTGATGGTAATGCATATTTTCAGTAAATATTGATGGACAAGCTTGTGCTAATTGCAGTGTACAAGAGTAAACAGGTATAGATCCTATCTTCTAAAAGCATATAGCTTGCAAAGATTGATAAAGAAACTGGCAAGGGCAGTACTATGTTATTAAGCACTGTCATAAGAGTTTGCTGGGTTCCATGAGACCAAAGATGGCATGTCTAAAGCACAGGTACAAAGAAAGGCTTCCAGAGATAAATGATAATTGGTCTGTATCCTTAAAAGTAAAGATGAGTTAGCAAGATTGATAAGAAGTGAAGCCATCTTCCAGCCAATGAAAACAGATGTCGTGGAAAGCCCTTGAAGTATGAGAGTATGTTTCTTGGGGGAAGGGGCTTTGAATAAGAGTAGAGGGTTTGTGAGTCAAGGAGGAATTGAGATGAAACTAGCTGTGCCAGCGAGAAGCCAGATAACAAGATGCCTGTATGTAAAACCACCTCATAGGGACAAGATTCTAAAAGCTGTGGGAAAGTAGTAAAGGTTTTGAGTCAGGCAACTTATACCACGTGACATCAGTCTGGAGTCAGGAAATGCAGTTCAGAGCCTGGTACAGTACTAGAGTGATGAGGGCCTTTGCCACATGGCAGATTCAGGATGGGCAGGACAAAGTAGCCTAGAGATATTTAGGCGAAATTGATGGGACAGTCATGACTAAGATAAAGCGATGGAGTGAATATGAGAATTTGGACATATTTTTTAACCTACAAGTTTTTTAATATAAAATTCTTATCTTTCTGATGCCTGGAATGACATGATTTGAAATTGACTTAATGATTCCTTTAAGTTTGAATAATGCAGCCAAATGTGTTCTCCCCATTATCTTGAATCAGGGAAAAGTATTGGATCCTGTTATCTTGTTTACATTTATAATGTCTTCTAAACTGGAACATACAAATGTCACTGTTTTATTGTATTATTTTATTTTAGTTCCGGGGTACATGTGCAGGATATGCAGGTTTGTTACATAGGTAAACATGTGCTATAGTGGTTTGCTGCACCTATCAACCCATCACCTGCGTATTAAGCCTGGCATGCGTTAGCTGTTTTTCCTGATGCTCTCCCTCTCCCCTGACAGGACCCAGTGTGTGTTGTTCCCCTCCCTGAGTTCATGTGTTCTCATTGTTCAGCTTCCACTTATAAGTGAGAACATTCAGTGTTTGGTTTTCTGTTCTTGAGTTAGTTTGCTAAGGATAATGGCTTCCAGCTCCATCCATGTCCCTGCCAAGAACATGATCTCATTCTGTTTTGTGGCTGCATAGTATCCCATGGTGTATATGTACCACATTTTTTTTTCTAGTCTATCATTGATAGGCATTTGGGTTGACTCCATATCTTTGCTATTGTGAATAGTGCTGCAATGAACATATGTGAGCCCGTATCTTTATAATAGAATGATTTATATTCCTTTGGGTATATACCCAGTAATGGGATTGCTGGGTAAAATGGTATTTCTGGTTCTAGGTCTTCGAGGAATCATCACACTGTCTTCCATAATGGTTGAACTAATTTACATTCCCACCAGCAGTGTAAAAGCATTCCCGTTTCTCCAGTCTCACAGCATCTGTAGTTTCTTGACTTTTTAATAATCTCCATTCTGACTGCTGTGAGATGGTATCTCATTGTGGTTTTGATTTGCATTTTTCTAATGATCAGTGATGTTGAGCTTTTTAAAAGTATATGTTTGTTGGCTGCATAAGTATCTTCTTTCGAGAAGTGTTTGTTCATGTCCTTTGCCCACTTTTTAATGGGGTTGTTTGGGGTTTATTTTTGTAAATTTGTTTAAGTCCCTTGTACATTCTGGATGTTAGACATTTGTCAGATGAATAGTTGCAAAAATTTTCTCCCATTCTGTAGGTTGTCGGTCCACTCTGATGATACTTTCTTTTGCTGTGCAGAAGCTCTTTAGTATAATTAGATCCCATTTGTCAATGTTTGCTTTTGTGGCAACTGCTGTTGACATTTTCATCATGAAATCTTTGCCCATGCCTATATCCTGAATAGTATTGCCTAAATTTTCTTCTAGGGTTTTTATAGTTTTGGGTTTTACATTTAAGTCTTTAATCCATCTTGAATTAATTTTTATGTAATGTGTATAAAAGGGGTCCAGTTTCAATTTTTCTGCATATGCTAGCCAGTTATCCCAGCACCATTTATTAAATAGGGAATCCTTTCCTCATTGCTAGTTTTTTGTCAGGTTTGTCAAAGATCAATTGGTTGTAGATCTGTGGTCTTACTTCTGAGTTCTAGATTCTGTTCCATTGGTCTATGTTTCTGTTTTTGTACTAGTACCATGCTGTTTTGGTTACTGTAGCCTTGTAGTACAGTTTGAAGCCAGGTAGCATGATGCTTCCAGTTTTGTGCTTTTATCTTAGGATTGTCTTGGGTATATTGGCTCTTTTTTGTTTCCATATGAATTTTAAGGTAGTTTTTTCTAATTCTGTGAAGAATGTCAGTAGTCATTTAATGGGAATAGCAGTGAATTTATAAATTACTTTGCGCAGTATGGCCATTTTCACAATATTGATTCTTCCTATCCATGAGCCTGGAATGTCTTACCATTTGTTTGTGTCCTCTCTGCTTTCCTTGAGGAGAGGTTTGTAGTTCTCCTTGAAGAGGGCCTTCATTTCCCTTGTTAGCTGTATCCCTAGGTATTGTATTCTCTTTGTAGCAATTGTGAATGGGAGTCCATTCATGATTTGGCTCTCTGCTCGTATATTGTTGTTGTATAGGAATGCTTGTGATTTTTGTACATTGATTTTGTATCCTGAGACTTTGCTAAAGTTGCATTTCAGCTTAAGAAGCTTTTGGGCTGAGATGATAGGGTTTTATAGATATAGGATTATGTAATCTGTAATTCTTGCTATTTGGATACCCTTTATTTCTTTCTCTTCTCTGATTGCCCTGGCCAGAACTTCCAATTCTATGTTGAATAGGAGTGATGAAAGAGGACATCCTTGTCTTATGCTGGTTTTCAAAGGGAATGCTTCCAGCTTTTGCCCATTCAGTATGATATTGGCTGTGAGTTTGTCATAAATGGCTTTTATTATTTTGAGATACGTTCCATCAATACCTAGTTTATTGAGAGGTTTTAACAGGAAGGGATGTGGTATTTTATTGAAGGCCTTTTCTGCATCTATTGAGACAATCCATGATTATGTGATTTTTGTCTTTAGTTCTGTTTATGTGATGAATTATGCTTATTGATTTGCATATGTTGAACCAGCCTTGCATCCCGGGGTTGAAGCCACCTTGATCATGGTAGATAAGCTTTTTGATATGCTGCTGGATTCAGTTTGCCAGTATTTTGTTGAGAATTTTTACACTAATGTTCATCAGGGATATTTGTCTGATGTTTTCTTTTTTGTTGTTGTATCTCTACCAGGTTTTGGTATCAGGATGATGCTGGCCCCATTAAATGAGTTAGGGAGGAGTCCTGCCTTGTTAATTGTTTGGAATAATTTCAGAAGGAATGGTACCAGCTTCTCTTTGTACCTCTGGTAGAATTCAGTAGTAAATTCAACTGGTCGTGGGCTTTTATTTGTTGGTAGACTATTTATTACTGCCTCAATTTCAGAACTTGTTATTGGTCTATTCAGGGATTCAACTTCTTTCTGGTTCCGTCTTGGCAGGGTGTATGTGTCCAGGAATTTATCTATTTCTTCTAGATTTTCTAGTTTATTTGCATAGAGGTATTTACACTATTCTCTGATGATTGTTTGTATTTCTGTGGGTTCAGTTGTGATATCCCCTTCATCATTTTTATTGTGTCTATTTAATTCTTCTCTCTTTTCTTCTTTATTAGTCTAGCTAGTGGTCTATTTTATTATTTTTTTCAAAAAACACCTGCTGGATTCGTTGATCTTTTGAAGAGTTTTTCGTGCCTCTGTCTCCTTCAATTCCACCTTGATCTTGGTTATTTCTTGTCTTCTGCTAGCTTTGGGTTTTTTTTCCTCTTGGTTCTCTAGTTCTTTTAGTTTGATGTTAGGATGTCAATTTGAGATCTTTTGAGCTTTTCGATGTGGGGATTTAGTGCTACAAATTTCCCTCTTAACACTGCTTTAGCTGTGTCCCAGAGATTCTGGTACATTGTCCCTTTGTTCTCATTGGTTTCAAATAACTTCATTTCTACCTTAATTTAATTATTTACCCAGGAATCATTCAGAAGCAGGTTGTTCAATTTCCATGTAGTTGTGTGGTTTTGAGTAAGTTTCTTAATCTTGAGTTCTAGTTTGATTGTGCTGTTGTCTGAGAGACTGTTTGTTTCTTTTGCATTTGCTGAAGAGTGTTTTACTTCCAATTATGTGATCAATTTTAGAGTTAGTACCATGTGGTGCCAAGAAGAATGTATATTCTTTTGTTTTGCAGCGTACAGTTCTACAGATATCTATCAGGTCCAGTTGATCCAGAGCTAAGTTCAAGTCCTGAATATCCTTGTTTATTTTCTGTCTCAATGATCTGTGTAATATTGACAGTTGGGTGTTAAAGTCTTCCACTATTATTGTGTGGAAGTAAAAGTCTCTTTGTAGGTCTCTAAGAACTTGTTTTATGAATCTGGGAGCTCCTGTATTGGGTACATATATATTTAGAAAGTTAGCTCTTCTTGTTGAATTGACCCCTTTACCATTATGTAATGCCCTTCTTTGTCTTTTTTGATCTTTGTTGGTTTAAAGTGTGTTTTGCCAGAAACTAGGATTGCAACCCCTGCTTTTGTCTGCCTTCCATTTGCTTGGTAAATTTCCCTCCATACTTTATTTTGAGGCTATGTGTATCTTTCGATGTGAGATGGATCTCTTGAATGCAGCACACCGATGGGTCTTGACTCTGTATCCATCTTGCCATTCTGTGTCTTTTAACTGGGGCATTTAGCTGATTTATATTTAAAGTTAATATTGTTATATGTGAATGTGATCCTGTCATCATGATGCTAGCTGGTTCTTTTGCAGACTTGTTGATGTAGTTGCTTCATAGTGTCATTGGTCTTTGTACTTCAGTGTGTTTTTGTAGTGGCTGGTAACAGTTTTTCCTTTCCATATTTAGTTCTTCCTTCAGGAGCACTTGGAAGGCAGGCCTGGTGGTGATGAATTCCCTCAGCATTTGCTTGCCTGAAAAGGATTTTATTAATATTTCTCTTTTGCTTATGAAGCTTAATTTGGCCAGATATGAAATTCTGGGTTGGAAATTATTGTCTTTAAGAATGTTAAATATTGGCCTCCCGATATCTTTTGGCTTGCAGGGTTTCTGCTGAGAGGTCTGCTGTTAGTCTGATGGGCTTCTCTTTGTAGATGACCTGGCCTTTCTCTCTGACTGCCCTTAACATTTTTTTCCTTCATTTTGACCTTGGAGAATCTGATTATGTGTCTTGGGGTTGGTCTTCTTCTGGAGTATCTTACTGAGGTTCTCTTGATTTCCTGAATTTGAATGTTGAATTTGAATGTTGGTCTGTCTTGCTAGGTTCGGGAAGTTCTCCTGGATGATATCGTGAAGTATGTTTTCCAACCTGGTTCCATTTTCCTCATCTCTTTCAGGTACCCCAATCAGTCATGGGTTCGGTCTTTTTGCATAATCACATAGTTCTCTGAGGTTTTGTTCATTCCTTTTTATTCTTTTTTCTCTCATCATGTCTGCCTGTCTTATTTCAGCAAGATAGTCTTTACGCTCTGAAATTCTTTACTCTGCTTGGTCAGTTTGGCTATTGATATTTGCGATTGCATTGTGACATTCTTGTGTTGTGTTTTTTCTGCACCATCAGGTTATTTATGCTTGCCTCAAACCTGGTTATTCTGGTTAACGCCTCCTGTAATGTTTTATCATGGTTCTTAGCTTCTTTGCATTGGGTTAGAACATGCTCCTTTAGCTCAACAAAGTCCATTATTACCCACCTTCTGAAACCGACTTCTGTCAGTTCATCCATCTCAGCCTCAGCCCAGTTCTGTGCCCTTGCTAGAGAGGTGTTGTGATCATTTGGAGGAAAAGAGGCACTCTGGGTTTTTGAGTTTTCTGCATTTTTTCGTTGATTCTTTCTCATCTTCATGACTTTCTCTATCTTTTGTCTTTAAGGCTACTGACCTTTGGATGGGGTTTTTGTGGGGGAATGTCACTTTTTTTTTTTTTTTTTTGAGACAGAGTCTTGCTGTTTCCAGGCTGGATTGCAATGGCACAGTCTCAGCTCACTGCTACCTCTGTCTCCCCACATTAGCTGTAGCTGAGACTACAGGCATGCACCACCACACCCAGCTAATTTCTGGGATACCAACATTTTATGGAATAACTATATCTCTGTGTTAGTACTTTATTTTACTTCAGACTTATTAGAACAATTATAAATAAATAAAACTTTTTGTTTTTTACTTTAGACTTATTAGGACAATTCAAGTTGATTAAAAGTAATCAACTTGAGTAAACCCTCTGCCAGTTCCTACCAAATTAATCGTGAACCCATGCTTAGAAAACGTGAGGTTCCTCATTTGTTTTCTCTGACAATGAGACAAATGAGCTGAGATGGGCACACAATGACAATAAGGGTGGGAGGAGTTTTTGTTCCAGGTGTTAGTGAGTAATGAATGGGTGTTACCAGGCACACTCAGAAATAAGTTATTTCAAAAACTCCTTCGTTATAACCTACTAATAGCAAAAGACCTGTTAGAATTTAAGAAAGATTTGATTAGGTTGGCTGTGGCTGAAAGCGTCCAATTATATTTTATTTTTTCCTTTCTCCTCTTCATGTTAAGAAAACAGGCTCTTATGCATGAATGGAGCGGGATGTTTATCTCTCTCTTTCAGGTGGGCTCTGCCTAATATTTATAAATATTATGAAAGATGCCAGAGCTAATTAGATGTGGAAGAAATTAGTCCAAGCAAATTAATCGCTGCTACTCAATGTGGAATTTTAGCGCTTTGTGGCTCAGAGATTATTTAGTGGCTTCTCTTGCTTTCTCATTTTGTTGCGATATAATTCACCCATGACAATGAGAATAGCTTGCTGAGGATTACCTCAATTTCCCCTTCTGCTGACAGAGGCTCAGCATATGGCCCAGAAAACACTCGATCTGAGCTGCAGCTTTCAAGTTAAGTTGGAAGAGCAGTACTTTCTCCCGCCTGGAGCCCTTCTGATGGGATAGAAACCTCATCTGGGCATGGGGAAAAGTCATGTACATGGCAGGCCCTGAGCATCTTCAGCACCTGCTGATTCTTCCCTTTCCTGTGTAACAGGATCAAAAGCCTCCAGCCTACTGAGACATCAAAATGGGTTGAGGCTGGGCACAGTGGCTGACTCCTGTAATCTCAGCACTTTGGGAGGCCGAGGCAGGCAGATCACTTGAGGCCACGTAGTTCAAGACCAGCCTGGCCAATATGGGGAAACCCCATCTCTACCGGAAAAAAAAAAAGAAAGAAGTTTTCAAAATGGCAGAATTGGTAAGCCATGAAAACAGAAACTATGGCAGTCACTTTTTACTCTTTCTAAGTCTTAACCAAATGCTCACAATGGGATCGGAGCCTGCCTTTGTTAGATCCAGCTCCCTGGCAGGCCAAGCTGTTAGGGAATGTGGTCCTAAGGTCAGCGGGGAAAAGCCACAACCAGAATTTATAGCAGAAAGCTGAAGATTGTGTAGCAAATAGCTTGGCATAGCACTTTACAGTCTACAATGTATTTTCATGTGCATCGTAATATTTAATTCTCATACACATTCTGAGAGTGACACTTACTGCAGTTCGTAAATAGGAAACTGAATCTGCCTGACTCTCCCAAAGCCACATAGCTAGAAAGCAGCAGAGTCTAGCTTGAACTCCAGGTGCCCTGAGTCCTGCATTCCTTTCTCTTTCCAGCATCACAGCTGCCTGTCTATATCTTGAGATGTTTGCAGGATGAGGCTTAATGTGATAAACGGACATTTTCAGACCTTTACAGCCAGAAATTTATTATGTTATGAGAGTGTTGCTCTCATAACAGATAAAAATTGTAAAGTTAATTAGCATTACAAATGATTTTTTATACATTCTTTTATTTATTTATTTATTTTACTTTAAGTTCTGGGATACACGTGCAGAACGTGCAGGATTGCTACATAGGTATACATGTGCTGTGGTGGTTTGCTGCACATATCAACCCATCATCTGGGTTTCAAGCCCAGCATGCATTAGGTATTTGTCCTAATGCTCTCCCTCCCCTTGTCCCTCACCCCCCAGCAGGCCCCGGTGTGTGATGTTCCCCTCCCTGTGTCCATGTGTTCTCATTGTTCAGCTCCCACTTATGAGTGAGAACATGCAATGTTTGGTTTTCTGTTCCTGTGTTCCTGTGTTAGTTTGCTGAGGATGATGGTTTCCGGCTTCATCCACGTTCCTGAAAAGGACATGAACTCATTCTTTTTTATGTCTGCATATTTTAACTTTAGTGAAGCAAAACCGTATGGTCAACAGAGCCAAAGTTGAAAATCTCCATCAGATTGCACCCTTTGGTGATTTACAGCGCCATCTCTCTGTGACTTCATCTTCTCCACTGTGAAATGAGGAAATAATTCTGACTTTGTAACATTATCATATTATTAAAAAATCGAGAAAGCATTTAGAATCTTGTCTAGCACATAACAAGTGCTCAATAAATATTTCTTATTGGGTGGGCTTTATATAATTTCTAAAGCATGTAATATAAATGGAGAGCGACACCATCACCTTTCAACATGATAGACATGAGTTGCTACAAAAAATACCTGCTAATGGCTGGGCATGGTGGCTCATGCCTGTAATTCCAGCACTTGGGGAGGCTGGGGCAGATGAACCACTTGAGGCCAGGATTTTGAGACCAGCCTGGTCAACATGGCGAAACCCCGTCTCTACTAAAAATACAAAAATTAGGCATGCTGGCACATGCCTGTAGTCTCAGCTGCTCAGAAGGCTGAGGCAGGAGAATCTGTTGAACCTGGGAGATGGAGGTTGCAGTGAGCCAAGATTGTGCCATTGCACTCCAGCCTGGGTGACAGAGCAAGACTCTAACTCAAAAACAAATAAATAAATAAATATAACCTGCTAAAAAGAAAAACAAGCCTATGTACTGTGAAACAAAATTATAAATCGAATCTGGAATATATTCCAAACATACTGCTTCTGAAGGAATTTTTCTTCCACATCCTTTAAAACTACAAAATTAGAGACTGAGCATGGTATGGAATCAGTATACTATGATACAGAATTAGTAAATCTGCAGGTTAGTGTAGGATCCTATTAACAACTCATATTTGGATATATCTCTCCAGAAAAAATCAGTTATAGGATTTCTATATACTTGGATAACCAATTTTTTCAAAGCACAGATACAGTATACATATATAAACACTTCCTTCCCTGGAATAAATATAATTTAATATATCACATGGTCCATAAATGCCCAGGTGAGATTGCACATTTTTTACTTTCTAGGTCTGGAAAAATAAAGATTCATGAAGCAATTTTTTCATGCTCTCTTTAAGAACTTTTCTTTATCTTTCTTCTATTTTATTTTCTATTTTGCATCTTAGTTATTTTTACATGTATTTTTCATTTTCTTTCTAAGTTCATACTTCTACAAATTCCCCAGCCGTGGCTTGTCCATCTTTATATCCTCAACATATCTGGTAGAGTATCTTGTACATAGTAGATGTTCAATAAATATTTTATGAACACAGGATTATTGATTTAATGAGAACAGCTGTAGGGAGAAAAATGGAGAAGTAGAAGCATTAAAGTTTGTGTGTAGATGTGTGTGTGTGCTAGTAATCGAAGACCCAATTCAAACTGGCTCAAATGATACAGGAATTTATTGACTTATACAACTGAAAGTCTACATGCAGAGCAGGCTTGGAACATGAACTGATGGAAAAGTTTGCAATGCCATCAAAGTTATTTTGCTGTTTCTCAATGACTTTGAAGGCTCTGTCTTCCTATCAATTGATTTTATCCCTAGGCTGCTTATTGTAGCAGCCTAGCAGATGAGTACCTGACCTTAAGAAAGCTGGATGCTTCCTGTTTTACATCAGAGTTGGGGAGAATAGGTCTCTTACCACAATTATCCATTGAAATGTACCCTTTTGTGACAGAATTCTTACTGGACAAACTTACATCCATGTCTATCTGTGAACCAATCTCATGGATTAGCAATGCCGTGCGGTGATAGGTGTGGTTCTGAGCCCAATTACAGCAAGAAAAATGGCATGGCCCTAGGAATTGGGTTGAGGGTCCAATTCTGTTAGCAATGGAGAGTATCTGAGTCATGCAGCACCTAAGTATGTTACTGTAGGCAGTGAATTCTTATGGGTCTGCAGCAACCTCCATTCTTGCCTTCTCAGAAGAAAGAGTTCCACCGAGGGGCATAAGACAGAGGAAAGACACAGGCAAGTTTTAGAGCAGGAGTGAAAATTTATTAAAAAGCTTTAGAACAGGAATGAAAAAGGAGTAAAGTACACTGGAAGAGGGCCAAGAGGGAAACTTGAGCGATCAAGAGCACATTTTGACGTTTGACTTGGAGTTTTACATGTTGGCATACTTCCAGGGTCTTGCATCCCTTCTCCCCTGATTCTTCCCTTGGGGTGGGCTGTCTGCATGTGTGGGGGCCCACTGATGCTTGGGAGTGGCCGTGCGTGGCGTGTTTGCTGCAGTTGTGCGCATGCTCACTCGAGGCGTTCTTCCCTTACCAGTCCAACATCCCTAGAGGAAGGTCATATACCAGTTAAACTCTGCCGTTTTGCTTCTTAGTGTGCACGTGTGAGCCCATTTGCTCAACTCCTGAGATCTTATTAGGAAGCTGCTGATCTCCAGTTTCAGGTGTTTCTATCCAATGGGAGACTGCCTTTCTCTTGCTCCGGCTGTGGCCAATTATTATTTTAGAGAGGCAGCTTAACAACTGCCTAACCATCACCTGATGGTCACCTGGCATTTCTGGTGGAGGGGTGCCTTCTCCTGCCCTGTTAATATCTGACTAGCGACCTACTGTGACAATCCCAACCAAATCGTGGAAATGCTATACAATTTGTGGAGGGTAGGGAGTGAGGATGGAAGCCTAAATGAATTTGAAGGCGGCAACCACAGCATGTGCAACATACATTGGGTAATAGTTTAAACTTCCAGAGTTCAAAAAATAAGGCTGAAATGCCGCAGTGTTACAGTCACACTTACTAGACACACAAAAGAAGTGGTAAAATGTAGAGCCCCATAAAAGCTCAAAATACATCAGGTCCTCCTGGGATGCTTTTTACTTGTGAGTGCTCTTTGAAAAAAAAAAAATAATAACGAGTGGATTTTTTTCCCTCCTATTAAGCTTAATTGTTAATTTTATGAGTAAAACTGATTCTAATAATTTCCTATAATAAGATGGCCAAAGTAATTACATCGTATCTAACATTTTTTTTCTTCTTGACGTTAAAACAAACAAGCATTCTAATTTAGACTGATGTGTCTTAGTACAAGTATTATTTAATATTTATGGTCTTTATGGATCTTTTTGGATTACACAAGGGGCAGAATCATATTTGCATTCAGCCTTGTGTAGTCATGAAATAGCAAAGAGATTACCTGCAAAGGGCTCTTCTAGTCCTTAAGTAATTGTCAAGCTCATAAGGTGAATCTCATTGTGCTATTCCTTTAAGATCCTTCTTTCTGGACTCAGACAATGGTTCAGCATTTCCCATACCCACCCACCAACCCACTTAGCCACTCAGCTTCCCACAGCTGTGCCTAAAATATCCCCACTTGCACTGGTTTTCTCTGGTTGGTGTCAGCCTAGCCTAAACCCACTGAATTACCTTCACAGAGCTTATCCACTTTCCTTGTCCTATTTCTCTCTATAGGAGCCTTCACCCTTTACCCCAACCAACTATAAAAATACCCAACACACCACTTAAAAACAAATACTTGCTTTATCCCTTCAGGATTAGACATTTTCTCGTTTTTCATTTGTTATACAAATCTTACTGATTTACTATTGAGAAAGTTGGTACAAAACTAATTTCGCTTTTGGCCATTCCTTTTAGAGACAATGACTGAAATAACTTTTGCACCAATCTAATAAATAGATGAGGAAGATAGCTAAGCTTCCCTACCCAGATTCCATGTGAAAAATAATGGAGAAAATCACTGTAACATTTTCTTTGTAAAACACCTTAATTATTATTATTTATTTTTTTAATGTTATGTTATGTTATGTTATGTTATGTTATGTTATGTTATGTTATGTTATGTTATGTTATGTTATGTTATTTTTGGAGAAGGAGTCTCACTGTGTTGCCCAGGCTGGAGCGCAGTGGAGTGATCTCGAGTCACTGCAAACTCCGCCTCCCAGGTTCAAGCAGTTCTCCTGCCTCAGCCTCCCACGTCGCTGGGATTACAGGCACCCGCCACCACACCCAGCTAATTTTTGTATTTTTAGTAGAGAAGGGGTTTTGCCATGTTGGCCAGGCTGGTCTTGGAACTTCTGATCTCAGACGATGTGCCCGCCTTGGCCTCCCAAAGTGCTGGGATTACAGGCATGAGCCACTGTGCCCGGCCTATTATTATTATTATCTGAGACAGGGTCTTGCTCTGTCACCCATGTTGGAATGCAGTGCATAGCTCCCGGCAGCCTCCAACTCTTGGGCTTAAGCAGTTCTCTCACCTTAGTCTCCTTGGTAATTAGGACTACAGGGGCACACCACCTTGCATGGCTAATTTTTAGAATTTTTGTAAAGAAGGTCTCTCCCTGTTGCCCAGACTGATCTCAAACTCCTGGCCTCAAGTAATCCTCCCACCTCGGTCTCCCAAAGTGCTGGAATTACAGGCATGAGCCAGCATGCCCAGCCCTAATGATTCTTAATAGGTAGTTATGGTCAGCTTGGAAGATAAGGGAGTCCACCAAGCTCTAGTTAGTGCAGACAGGATTTTCTGTTTTCGCTTCCAGCCCACAGTACTCAGGGGGATGGCAGGAGAGAAATTTCTTTCACTGCTGTTGCTCAAAGAATGGGTGGAACTTCAACACACCGTTCTAGCATGTGATTAACGCTGTTCTCAGCGTGCCATTAGAAGGGTTGGAAACTCACCCCTTTCAGGGAGATTTTAAAGAAATCCAGGGATCAGACTGCCACAATTACTTTGAACACTGGATATTCCATGGAGAAGGTTTAGTTTGACAAAGATGAAAATGCATGTTAAATATTCTCACTTGCTTCTTTCTGCAACCAAGCAAATGTCTCTCCCTTCTCCTCCCCCTCCACCTTTATACACTGGGGTGAAGAGGAAAGAAGAAGAGGAAAGAAAAGCAACAGCAACAAAAAGTTTGCACTAAAAATATATATTTATGTGTACACATACAAGGAGATAATTTCTAAAAATAAATGTCTGTGACAGTTATTTGTACAGACATCTGACCTTAAGAAAGTTCATGATACATCGCTGAGAGAAAAATCTAGGTGCAGAGGGAAGAATATGCTTCTATTGCAGGAAACACACATACAAAACTGATATATAGATACCTCTGTGTGTGTGTGTGTGTATCTGTACGTGTGTGTGTTCTATGAGAAGGTAAAAGTAGTAGGAGGAGACATACCTTAGTTACCTCGGGAGGATAGAATTGCATATAGGCATGAAGGTTTGTGTTTTAACATACATTTGTGGGTAATTTCCTTGACACTTCAAGCATATATTGTTATTAATGTAATAAACATCACGTGACCATTTTACAAGGAAAATTTTCTTCACTATAGAACATTTTTCTTCACTATAGAAAAATGCACTCCCTTTTGGATTTGAGGCAAATGATGGATAAAGTAAAGTAATATTGGATACTGGTGAAAAATGAGTCAATTTTTAAAAGCAAAGAAAGATGTGAAAACCATGTTTCTACCTTACAAAGTCAACAAGATGAATATTGAAAAAATTATCTTATACAACGATATGAAAATAATACAATTTTATTTTGGTTTTGCTTTGGCTTAACGTTTTTGGTTTCTTCTCAAAGTTATCCATGTTCCTGGTATGTCATTATTTATTGACATTCATCATTTTATCCCATGACAGTTTTGTGATTTTACAAGGAAAATTGTTATGCAGGAGGGGATAATTTGAGAATTTTAGTGTGGAGATTGCAGTTTTTTCTTCAAGCAGCACCATATCCATTTATAATCAGACTTACTGACTAAAATTTTTGGAATCATAGATTTCACCATATAAGTTTAAAATCTCAGTAATCTCTACTCCCATTTGAAAATTTACTGAAATCTATTAAAATTTATAGAAGGTAAATTATCTCGAAAACATGTATAGAAATCATTTTGTTTCAAGATGGCAGGCTGATACACAAGAAAAACTGAAGTGGAAATTTTTGGGGGGTAGTGTATTCATTTTTCTCTAAAATCTTTTTTTGTAACAGTTTGTTATGCAAATACACAACAAATAAAGATACGGATAAATCATACTTATTAAATTGAAGTTTTCCTTGGCCAAAAATAACTAAAATTCAACATATTTTGAAACTGCTTTTGACCCTTACAGTAGTTTATTTCCTATTATTTTCTCATGTTAACCGATAGGATGATATTACTTTAATTTGTTCTATAGCATAACTGCTCTGTGGAAAATCAATCAATCAATTAGTAGTATATATTTCCATAGCTATCGGAAGGAAGATCCCTATGAAGATTCCAATTCCTTTGTTTTATTTAGAAACATACATAATAAAACTTCTAACACTAGAATGGGCAGGACTTTACAAAGTTCAGAATTGGAGAATATCCTGGGCCTCTAAATGGGTGACGAGGTTTATTTCTCACCAAATCTTTCTGTTATTTTTATTTTTATAGGCAAACTTCTGTCAATAAGAGAAAATTTTCTATCTTTATTTTTTGTTTTATCCCTCATTCTATGTGTATTTTCTGTAAAATTAACATAAGAATTATTTCAGTCTAGTTTAACTCTCCATACAACTGTCAAAAGGCCACCAGTACTCTATTTGTTCATCACCAGGTTCTATATATAAATATAAATATATATACATTTAGATAAATAGGCAGTGTAGATAATAGATAGATGGATAGAAGATAGAATGAAAGAATGATAGGTAGGTAGATAGATAGACAGACAGACAGCATTCATATTCTTTCTCCATATGTCTTAGGTTTCTCCATTATTTTTTTAACTGGTAATCCAAGACAGTTTTCCACTAAAATTTATCAATAGGCACATTCAAAAGTGTACTATTTGTCTAAGATGATTACTGTAGCCCTGATGCCAGGAAAGTGGCACTATCAACATTTAAAGGAATTGAATTAACTCAGAGTGAAAATGTGTCCCCATCTCTAGATCATACCAGTGTGTGCACGTGTGAAAGATTGACAAGTAGGATTCACAAGGTCAAATGAGGACTGACAAGGAATGCATCTTAAGGATTGTGAGGGAAAAAAACAAATACCCCAATCTCTCACAATTCTAATTTATTTTAACTTGAATTGCAGAAACGTTAAAACAATGAAATTATCTTCATTTCTACTTTTAAAATAATATTTGCTAAAGAAAGAAAGGCATTCTGATAGGCCTCCATGAACCTCCACGCTTTTTATATTTAAAGAAGCTGATTGCTTTTGTGAAGGAATTACTTTTGAGCATACAAATTTTCAAATTTAAAAGTGATTAAGTGAAAATTCAATACATTGTACTGAAGAAGCATTGCTTCTAACACTCAGTTTTTATACACTCATATTCAAAAGCTACGTTTTCATCCTATTTTGTAGCATGTACTGTGAAGGTGGCAGGAAATTTGACCAAACCCTTCGTAATTTGTATCCTGTTACTGATGTTAAACAAGTGTGTATACATGAACTTTCAGATACTACCAGAAAAATTTCAATACATTTACTGCTTAGCAATAAACCTTATCCCTTAGAGGCAGAAGGTACTCTTTCATTCGTAACTTTCTCAAGACCATCCGTACCAGTGTTAAAAGTTTCATCATGTACATCCCTAAATAAAACAAAGGTGATGGAACCCTTGTAAGTGTCTGAGAATTTACTAGTACATCAAATGAGATTATTAACCTGTTTCCAAATCTAAACACTTGAAGGATTATCCCTTTGTAATGAGAAATAAATGTGTTCTTTGGTTTGTATTTATGGTAATGTAAAATTTGAATCTGCTCTGTTGGTTTTCTGAAATGACTTGAATCTCTTCACTATAGAAAAATGTGCTGCCTTTTGGATTTGAGGCAAATGATGGATAAAGTAAAGTAATATTGGACACTGGTGAAAAATGAGTCAATTTTTAAAAACAAAGAACGATGTGGAAACCATGTTTCTACCTTATAAAGTCAAGAAGATGAATATTGAAGAAAATTATCTTACACAATGATATGAAAATAATACAATTTAATTTTGGTTTTGCTTTGGCTTAAAGTTTTTGGTTTTTTATCAAAGTTATCCATGTTCCTAGTATCTCGTTATTTATTGACATTCATGATTTTATCCCATGCCAGTTGTGTTCAAATATCTTTTCACTTTTCTTTTTTCCAACTATTTTATTTTATCTCCTTTCCAGATGTAGACAAGGCTGGAAAGGAAATCGATGCCATATCAAGTTTAATCCTCCTGCTACAGACTTCACATACGCTCAGAATAGTAGGTGACATTATGACTAAATAAATGGCTTGGTTTGGGGTGGTCTCTAATATATTTCACTGCATATTTATCTTTTTCTTTGGTTTAAAATTCCAGATACATGGACTCTCCTGGGTATTGGATTAGCATTCCTGATGACTCACATCACAGTTGCAGTCTTGTGTTTTCTTGCAAACAGAAAGGTACCAATAAGGTAAGTGATGCCTTTAGTTGCTAAATGAAATATACCGTAGCAGAAAAATTTTCTTCAACATTTCCTTTGCTATTTTTTTCTTTCACTCCATATTACATGCAGGAAACTTTAGTGTTTTGCTGCTTTATGGATTTATTTTTCTGGGCAGAAAAGAGGAGCTACCTAACAAGAATTTCTCTTCTTTTTTTAGTATAAAGCCTGAAGTTTACTTTTCAGATTATATTAGGAGCCTTTTTGAGGGCGTATATATATATATATGAAATTTATATATATATGAAATTATATATATATGAAATTTATATATAGATGAAATTATATATATATATATATATAATTTCATCCCTGGAATGCAAGGCTGGTTCAACATACACAAATCAATAAATGTAATCCAGCATATAAACAGAACCAAAGACAAAAACCACATGATTATCTCAATAGATACAGAAAAGGCCTTCGACAAAATTCAACAGCCCTTCATGCTAAAAACTCTCAATAAATTAGGTATGGATGGGACATATCTCAAAATTATAAGAGCTATTTATGACAAACCCACAGCCAATATCATACTGAATGGGCAAAAGCTGGAAGCATTCCCTTTGAAAACTGGCACAGGACAGGGATGCCCTCTCTCACCACTCCTATTCAACATAGTGTTGGAAGTTCTGGCCAGGGCAATCAGGCAGGAGAAAGAAAGAAAGGGTATTCAATTAGGAAAAGAGGAAGTCAAATTGTCCCTGTTTGCAGACGACATGATTGTATATCTAGAAAACCCCATCGTCTCAGCCCAAAATCTCCTTAAGCTGATAGGCAACTTCAGCAAAGTCTCAGGATACAAAATCAATGTGCAAAAATCACAAGCATTCTTATACACCAATAACAGAAAAACAGAGAGCCAAATCATGAGTGAACTCCCATTCACAATTACTTCAAAGAGAATAAAATGCCTAGGAATCCAACTTACAAGGGATGTGAAGGACCTCTTCAAAGAGAACTACAAACCACTGCTCAAGGAAATAAAAGAGGACACAAACAAATGGAAGAACCTTCCATGCTCGTGGATAGGAAAAATCAATATTGTGAAAATGGCCATGCTGCCCAAGGTAATTTATAGATTCAATGCCATCCCCATCAAGCAACCAATGACTTTCTTCACAGAATTGGAAAAAACTACTTTAAAGTTCATATGGAACCAAAAAAGAGCCCGCATTGCCAAGTCAATCCTAAGGCAAAAGAACAAAGCTGGAGGCATCACGCTACCTGACTTCAAACTATATTACAAGGCTATAGTGACCAAAACAGCATGGTACTGGTACCAAAACAGAGATATAGACGAATGGAACAGAACAGAGCCCTCAGAAATAATACCACACATCTACAACCATCTGATCTTTGACAAACCTGACAAAAACAAGCAATGGGGAAAGGATTCCCTATTTAATAAATGGTGCTGGGAAAACTGGCTAGCCATATGTAGAAAGCTGAAACTGGATCCCTTCCTTACACCTTATACAAAAATTAATTCAAGATGGATTAAAGACGTAAATGTTAGACCTAAAACCATAAAAACCCTAGAAGAAAACCTAGGCAATACCATTCAGGACATAGGCATGGGCAAGGACTTCATGTCCAAAACACCAAAAGCAATGGCAACAAAAGCCAAAATTGACAAATGGGATCTAATTAAACTAAAGAGCTTCTGCACAGCAAAAGAAACCGCCATCAGAGTGAACAGGCAACCTACAGAATGGGAGAAAATTTTTGCAATCTACTCATCTGACAAAGGGCTAATATCCAGAATCTACAAAGAACTCAAACAAATTCACAAGAAAAAAACAACCCCATCAACAAGTGGGCGAAGGATATGAACAGACACTTCTCAAAAGAAGACATTTATGCAGCCAACAGACACATGAAAAAATGCTCATCATCACTGGCCATCAGAGAAATGTAAATCAAAACCAGAATGAGATATCATCTCACACCAGTTAGAATGGCGATCATTAAAAAGTCAGGAAACAGCAGGTGCTAGAGAGGATCTGGAGAAATAGGAACAGTTTTACACTGTTGGTGGGACTGTAAACTAGTTCAACCATTGTGGAAGACAGTGTGGCAATTCCTGAAGGATCTAGAACTAGAAATACCATTTGACCCAGCCATCCATTACTGGGTATATACCCAAAGGGATATAAATCATGCTGCTATAAAGACACATGCACATGTACGTTTATTGCGGCACTATTCACAATAGCAAAGACTTGGAACCAAGCCAAATGTCCAACAATGATAGACTGGATTAAGAAAATGTGGCACACATACACCATGGAATACTATGCAGCCATAAAAAATGATGAGTTCATGTCCTTTGCAGGGACATGGATGAAGCTGGGAACCATCATTCTCAGCAAACTACCACAAGGACAAAAAACCAAACACCACATGTTCTCACTCACAGGTGGGAACTGAACAATGAGAACACTTGGACAGAGGAAGGGTGACATCACACACCGGGGCCTGTCATGGGGTGGGGCTAGTGGGGAGGCATAGCATTAGGAGATATACCCAATGTAAATGATGAGTTAATGGGTGCAGCACACCAACATGGTGCATGTATACATATGTAAAAAACTGCACGTCATGCACATGTACCCTAGAACTTAAAGTATAATAAAAACTATATAAATATATATGAAATATTTATATATGACATTATCCACCGACTAAAAAGAGATGAGGGGCTAGATTTGCCATTACTGGTGGTGCCTGGGGAAGATAGCAGAACGGCAAAGGAAATTATTTCTTTGCTTACGCAGTGTATTAGCCTTTTCTCACACTGCTAATAAAGACATACCAAGACTGCATAATTTATAAAGGAAAGAAGTTTAATGGACTCACAGTTTCATATGGCTGGGGAGGCCTCACAATCATGGTAGAAGGCAAAAGAGAAGCAAAGGCATGTTTTTCTTTCTTTTTTTTTTTTTTTTTTGAGATGGAGTCTCACTCTGTTGCCCAGGCTGGAGTGCAGTGGCACAATCTCAGCTCACTGCCACCTCCACCACCTGAGTTCAAATGATTCTTCTGCCTCAGCCTCCTGAGTAGCTGGGATTACAGGTACCTGCCACCATGCCCGGCTAATTTTTTATTTTTTATTTTTAGTAGACACAGGGTTTCACCATCTTGACCAGGTTGGTCTCAAACTCCTGACCTCGTAATCCACCTGCCTCAGCCTCCCAAAGTGCTGGGATTACAGGCATGAGTCACCGTGCCCGGCGCCAAAGGCATGTCTTTCATGGCAGCAGGCAAGAGAGCTTGTGTAGGGGAACTCCCCTTTATAAAACCATTGGATCTTGTGAGACGTAATCACTATCATAAGAACAGCATGGGAAAAACTCACTCCCATGATTCAATTACCTTCCGCCAAGTCACTCCAATGACACATGAGAATTATTACAATTTAAGGTGAGATTTGGGTGGAGACACAGCTGAACCATATCACATAGGGAGGCAGGACTCGTGGCACTAATGTTTTAGCCCAAGCATCCCATGTACTGAGCATGTGCAAAACAGGGGCCAAGAGCTGCTGCATCTGCATGAAGGAACTCTGCAGGCTGGGCTCATGCAAGACTCAGAGACCCTGCCAATCAACAGTGCCACTAAGGGTCCTGGATCTTTTCAACCCATTACCCATTTTCTCATTCCTAGTATGGGTTCCAAGTAAACCAAGTAACAAATGTGACTGGCTTTTATGAACTCAGCAAGATAAGGGCTCACTAAAAGATTTAATAACATTTTTAGAAATTAAAGATATACATCATATCTTGAACACCTGAGTTTGTGGTCAGAAATTCAGATCTGCTGCAACACCAAATATGTCACAGAGCAAAGGATAATTCACTGTTTTCCTTGATGTCAAATTATACAACCGCCTGATGAATTCTCTTCAGATCTTCAGCCTGCAGTCATGTGAATAAGCAGACAGCTATCTTGATAACAGCAATTATAGCAAGGTTATTATAGAATTATGGTGTTCATTAGAAAAAAAATGATATTTTTAATCCATTAAGACTATCTTGGTCCAGGCACAGTGGCTCATAACTGTAATCCCAGCACTTTGGGAGGCCAAGATGGGCAGATCACTTGAGGTCAGGAGTTCAAGACCAGCCTGGCCAACATGAGGAAACCCCATCTCTGCCCAAAATTAAAAAAAAAAAAAAATTAGCCTGGTGTGTTGGCATATGCCTGTAATCCCAGCTGCTTGGGAGAGTGAGACAGGAGAATCATTTGAACCTGGGAGGCAGAGGTTGCAGTGAGCTGAGGTCACGCCACCACACTCCAACCTGGGTGACAAAGTGAGACTCCAGAAAACAAAAAAAGACTATCTTATTCATTAGTAATTCTTTAATTATTTTTTATGAGCCTACAATATGCTAGACAACATGAACACAAACATGAATGAGAAGCAGTCTAGACTTTAAGAAGTTTGTAATCTAGGGAAAGAAGCAGATACATAAACCACTAGGTGAAATACTAGTGTATTTGTCTGGCTTCTCCAGAAAAACACACATAAAAATAGGATACAGAGATAGAGACAGAGAGAGAAAGAGAAAGAGAGAGAGAGATTTAAGGAGTTGTCTCATGCAATTGTGGGGACTGGCAAGCTTGAAACCTGTAAGGCAGACCAGCAGACTAGAAATCCAAGTAAGAGTTGATGGTCCAGTCTTGAGTCTAAAATCTACAGGGCAAACCACCAGGCAGGAAACTCTGACAGAGTTTTGCATCTCAGTCTTGAGGCAGAACCCTTTCTTCATAAGGAAATCCCAGTCTGCGCTTGAGCCCCCGCCCCCGCCCCCATTATGGAGGGCCATGTGCCTTAATTAAAGTCAACTGATTATAAAGGTTAATCATGTCTGAAAACTACCTCCACAGCAACCTCTAGACTAGTGTCTGACCAAACAATCGGGCATCATAGCCTAGCCAAGTTAACACAAAAAGTTTACTTTCATAATATAGAAGCAAGCTGTCATTTTCACACCCCCAGCAAGAGCGTTCCAAAATAATTCTAAATTTCACAGTTTCTCCAGATTCATGTTGAACAGCCTATCATATGGAAGTTATTGAGAGGACCCTCGGGCAAATATTGGTGGCATTATGCCACAGCCCAGCAGAGCCACCTCTCTTGCTCTCTTCTATTTCTCTCATTTTCTTTAATTTTACATGTTCCTTTCTCTTTGCTTCTTACCTTCTTTCTTTGCCAGGCTCTACTCCTATTTACCCTTTCCCTATTTCTTTGTCCATCTTCTCTTAACCTCAATTTTTCTTCTGTCTCCCTGTTTTTAAAAGTATTTTCTTCCAGTAACTTATTTAGATTCCCCAGGGTTTGCCTCTCCATCCACTTTTCTTCCTCCTCTACACATTCTCCATAGATGTCATTCATTTCCAAGGTTTTAAGTGACATCTAGATGTAAATGCCTTCAAGTCAGATCTCTCTGTTACTGAAATATTTTTCCAAGCTCCAGATCCATACCGTGCTTTCAACCATTTGTTAGACTTTCCAGCTGAATATTTCTCTAACTACTTTGACCTTAACATATGAGATATTAGTGCTTATAATTTCTATATCCTGGAATCTACCTTTGAAGCCTGAGGAATAAAGGGTACCATGATCATTTGAGGTGTAAAGCTCAGATATAGCTGTTTTTATTGTCTTACCAAACACATCAGAACTCTAATAGTATCAATCCCTCATACACAAGTATCACAAGGAATTGAGTAAAAGTGGCTACACCCCTCAAATAAGAGGTCCAAGTAACACATGTTCTTTGAACTGCCAAAGACTACTAATAATTGGGGTCAGGCACAAATCCCTGAGGCTCACAAAGGGAAGCAGAACCATCTCTGTTGAACCATCTCTTTCCTCTTCCCAGTCTATACTAGGAGGCAACTGGAAAGAAAGGAGGATGAGAGTTTTTGAAGTTATTGTCTTTTGAATAGTGCGGTATCTTTGGTGAGAAGTTTTTCCTCTTTCCTGGGAGAAGAAATGGGGAAGGAGAGGAAGATACCATCACCAGCACTACCCAAAACCAATGATGGAAAGACTCCAAAAGAACAATAGTTTAGATTGATGATGCCTAGAAAACAGGTGCAAAATCTACAAAAATCTCCCCGGAGCTGCATCAGAGTAGAGAGTAAAGAAAACGTTGCTAGGAGTGTAAAGACAATTTTTGGCTTAATGTTTTGAAAGTAGATGGCCACTGGAGTATTCTGTCCCAGCAAGTCTTAAAAAGACTGTGGTATGGAATACTATGTAGCCATAAAAAATGAATGAGTTCATGCCCTTTGCAGGGACATGGGTGAAGCTGGGAACCATTATTCTTAGCAAACTAACACAGGAACAGAAAACCAAACACCGCATGTTCTTACCATAAGTGAGAGTTGAACAATGAGAACACATGGACACAGGGAGGGGATATCACACACCGGGGCCTGTTGGGGGGTGAGGGACAAGGGGAGGGAGAGCATTAGGACAAATACCTAATGCCTGCAAGGCTTAAAACCTAGATGACGGGTTGATGGGTGCAGCAAACCACCATGGCACATGTATACCTGTGTAAAAAACCTGCACGTTCTGCAGATGTATCCCAGAACTTAAAGTATAATAATAATAATAATAATAATAAAGACCATGGTGTAATATGTACCTGGGAAGGGAGAAAATTGTACTGTGGAGAAAGGAGGGAAAGGAGGGAAAGGAGGGAAAGGAGGGAAAGGAGGGAAAGGTAGGAGGGAGGAAATTGTACTATGTCTCAGTTATGCAGATCCACGGAAGACGTGAAAGCTGGAGTTTACTTTCAGTCCATTTGAGGAAACATGGAAAATAGAGATAAATTGGAACTGTAGGGTTGTTCAGGCAGTGCTCATTCGGGTGAGGTGATGCCCTTCCTGGAGAGGGCAATAGGGGCAGGGTTGAGCTGAAGGTAGACACAGCTACCTTTCCTTTAAAAGGTGTATTGGGCTATTGTTGCATTGCTACAAAGACATACCTGAAACTGGGTCATTTATTTAAAAAGATGTTTAATTGGCTCATAGTTCTGCAGGCTATATAGGAAGCATAGCACCAGCATCTGCTTCTGGGTAGGCTTCAGGAGGCTTTTACTCATGGCAGAAGGCAAGGCAGGAGCTTGCACGTCACATGGTGAAAACAGGAGCAGGAGAGAGAGAGTAGGGGGGAAGTGCCACACACTTTTAAACGACCAGATCTGGTGAGACCTCACTCACTACAGTAAGAACAGCACCAAGTCATGAGGGATCTGCTCCCATGACACAAACACCTCCCACCAGGCCCCACCTCCAACACTGGGGATTACAATTCAACATGAGATTTGGGTGGCAACAAATAACCAAACTATTAATATATCATAGTATATCAAAAGACATCCAATGATAGAAGGGTCCCAAGTGAAATTGATTTAGACACACACACACACACACACACACACACACACACACACACGAAATCATTACACTGTCACCATGAAGGCCACAACAACAGAAAAGTCAAGCCAAAAAGTCAGAACTACATTAACCCACTGCAATAGAAGACACCTCCCTACTGTTGACAAGTAACAAGTTACCGAAGAAGTTTCCACCCTCTGTTTCCATCTCTTCTCTGTCTCTACTACACCTTACAGCTAAGCCTTGACAAAAGAGAGGGGCATGCTTCAGAGCCAGAACATAACCTTCCCCCTTTTCCTTGCTCGAGGCAGCAGCCTTCTACAAATCTGCAACCTGCCATGAGGAAAGGGTAGGAGGCAAATAGAGGTTGGAATTTGGTTTTATTTGACAACTTTAAAGGGGACTGGACTAAGTTTTAATCATTAAAAGTGACCATAAATTTATGAAATTTGCCCAAGATAGACGAACTGGACCAGGAAGGAAGGAGGTTGATAAAATATGAAAGAAATGAATAATTGCAAAAAATAGGAGCACTTTCATATTTTTAAACTACCTTGTTGTGATACTCGATCCATGAGTGACTCAAGTCTTGGTCTCTGCTACCTAATAGAAGTGGGTTAGGTCCAAGATAATATCTGTCTCTAACCCTCTGATTATTTTCCTGTTGTCATTTTCCCTTTCCTTCATACCTTCTCTTCTGATTTCCGTAATCTCCAAACAAAAGGCTTTTTTCCCTATGACTGCCAAAAACAATTATCACCCAAGACTTTTGTCAGTCTTAGTGATCTTTTGAGTCATTTGATCCACACCTGCTCTTAGGACCAAGATAATGAAGTTCTTACAAGTTGCACTCAAGAGAGAAGGATTCCCTCAGGCTGGGTGCAGTGGCTCATACCTGTAATCCCAACACTTTGGGAGGCCAAGGTGAGGGATCTTTAGCTCAAGACTACCCTGGGCAACATAGCAAAACCCCACCTCTACAAAAAAATACAAAAATTAGCCAGGCATGGTGGTACGTGCCTGTAGTCCCAGCTATTCCGGAGGCAGAGTTGAGTGGATTGCTTGAGCCTGGGAGGTCAAGGCTGCAATGAGCTGTGATTGTGCCACTGTACTCCAGCCTGGGTGACAAAGCAAGACCCTGTCTCTCTAAAAATAACATAAAATAAATTAAAAAGAGAGAAAGAGAGAGAGGAGTCCCTTAAAGGAAGCAGACCAGCCTAGCAGATGGCTAGGCAGACCCAAAGGTTCAGCCTACTCAAGGTCTTCAGATCCTCAGATCCTTACTCTCAGGTCTTCAGATCCTCAGATCCTTACTCTCAGGCCTCAGTGACCTCATAAGTGGATGCGGCCCGGATAGTTCTGGGGAATCATTTTGCAGATGCTCAAATGTCATATATTCTCTTCTGAAAGGTATCTGATTGAGGAAGGTGTACCAGCCTGCTGTGCCTTCTTTGTCATTTCCTCTTTCTCATATGTCCTTTTCTTTATCTCAAAACTGGGTTGGGGCGATGGAGGAATACACCCTGGACGAAGGGAGCAGAGGGACAGTCAGGTACTGAAGCACCCAAAAAAGAAACTTAAGTAGCAAAAGATGAGATTTGAGACAAGCAATATGGAAAAAGGAGCAGGAGATAAACCTTTACCAAGTTTCTGTATTTCTCTTCCCTTCCCTTCCCTTTCCTCCCCTCCCCTTCCTCTTCCCCTCCCCTACCCTCCCCCTCCCTTTCCCCTTCCCCTCCCCTCCCTTCCTCTCCCTTCCCCTTCTCTTCTTCTCCCTCCCCCTTTTCCTCCTTCTTCTTTTCTCTTTCTCTTCTCCATCCCTCACCTTCTCCCTTCTCCCTCCTCCCTTCTCTCTCTTCTTCCTTTCTCTTCTCACCCCTTAGAATTAGAAATCGCAGTCAATAGAGATGATTGTGCTAGGACATATTTTAACATTTCTAATTGAGTTGGACAATAAACTTAAACTTCTCAAAAGAAAATTCTTATTTCATTGACTGGACAGACAGCCCGACTGGCTTTGTCCTTTAGATTAAATGAAAGTCAATTCATCTAGTTTTAAGGAGCTCAACTTAAATATTCAGAATTTCGTGCTATTATATTTAAAGCACGTCTACAACATAGAATATGTTAGAAATGTAAATTTATAGTAAATGTCTTAGATATGAACTTAAAGATGCAAAAGGAGATGCATAGCTTTTCAAAATTATTTTAGGAAATATTCAAGTGATAATGTTCAAAAACCACTACAGCAAGTTTAATTTTTCACTGTTCCCATTCTTCCACACCCTACTCTTGGGAAAAGTCTCACTATTCCCAAAAAGCATATGACTATTCATGCCCTCTGCCTGGCAGAGCTATTCAACCGCACATATATTGGATACCAGGCAAATATTTCCTGCCATCCTGTCAGGGTGAGTCACTCAGTAATGCTTTCCTCAGCAACAATGTTATAGCAATGATGACATCATGTTGTAACAGCTATTTCCATATTAATCCTTATTTTTATATTTCTGGTATCTGGGATTGTATGCATAATTTGTATCCAATATATGATTGCCGAAGATTATCTAGAATTTATTTAAGATTATCTAATTGAAAGCATCACCAAAACCATTGCTTATATCCATTGATTACATCCACATAATGATATTACAAGTTAAACTTCAAAATCAGTCTTTTTGCATGAAATCATTTAAGCCCTAAAGTAAGTTAAAATGTTTGGGCAAGAGATGGCTAAATGAAATAACGTGGCTCACCTTGAAAATAATGCCAAAACCTTGAGATACACAGAACTTCATGTAAGCAGAAAACCATCACCCTCTCGAAATTAACCTTAACCTTAAGATTTTTCATTAAATTTTGTACAAAGAATCTGTGGCGTAAGAGGACTTCAATAACTTGAAGTAAACTTTTGTATTGCTTTTTAAAAACATGGAATGGAGCATGGTGTGCTCAGAGAAAGCTAAGCACAGGAACAAGCCTCTTAAAGTTGTTGTTAGAGATTTGATTTCCTGGATTTTATTATACATTCTGTGACTCTTCTTTTAGCTACTTGCCACCTAATCTCTTAGTGTGGACACTTTGATTACAGGGGAAAAAAAGCAACTCAAGATGATTTGATCAAAATAAAGAATTTAGGGTAAAGACACAGGATGTCTCACAGAGCTCAAGGGTGGGAATGAATGAGTGGGGCCTCAGAAAGGCCTGAGCCAGAGGAATTCTTCATCTGCCTCTCATCTCTGTTTCTTTTTGCTCGTCTGTTTTGATTCTCTCTCTGCAGGTGTATTTCCTCTGCTTCCTGTCCCTGTAACAAAGTAGTGTTACCTAGAGGTTGATTGTATATGGGGCGAGGGCCACAGCACACCATAGCTACAGGGAAATATACCAAGGCACTCTCGTGGCAGGGATGGGCCAAAAAAGAAGTCATCATGAAAGATCTCTGAAAGCTGTCTTCTACATCTATCCTCATGGCTTAAAATACTCCAGATTCTCATTCATGACACCTTCAAGGAAGCAGGAAATACAGCAGCCTTCAAGAGTTCATAGTAAAAGAAGAGAGATGTAATCATCAAATCTATATCTGTAAATCAAGATTAAAGGGTACAAATAGGTCTGGTGCAGTGGCTCACATTGGTAATCCCAGCATTTTGGGAGGCCAAGGCGGGTGGATCACTTGAGGTCAGGAGTTCAAAACCAGCCTGGCCAACATGGCAAAACCCTATCTCTACTAAAAATACAAAAATTAGCCAGGGGTGGTGGCAGGTCCCTGTAATCCCAGCTACTCAGAGGGCTGAGGCAGGAGAACCACTTGAACCCAGGAAGCGGAGGTTGCAGTGAGCTGAGATTGTGCCACTGCACTCCAGTCTAGGTGACAGAGCAAGTCTCTGACTCAAAAACAAATAAATAAATAAAATAAAAATTGCAAAATAAAGGGTAAAAATAAACAGTAAGCCGTTTATTCTTACCTTACCAGCAGCCTGACTATGCCCATTGCTTTCCTTTTTAGACTGTATCTTTGACTGGGGAAACATTTGCAATAAATGTTTACTATTCAGCATTGGGGCATATCCTCTTGAAGCATTGTACTAATTTAGTAAATAAACTAACAAAAGTTAAAAATCAGAATTTTTTTTTAGCTATGCTGAGAAATAACATATATTCATGTGAAAAGTTGTTTGAAAAGTTTAGATCTGGAAGTATTCTAAGTAATTTCATAGAATCGTAAGTCAGTTTGGGCTATTGCAACAAAATACCATAAACTCGGTGGTATAAACAAGCATTTAAGTCTCACAGTTCTGGAGGCTAAAAAGTCTAAGATCCAGGAACTGGCAGATTCAGTTTCTGGTGAGGACCCTCTCTCTGGCTTGCAGGCAGCCACCTTCCTTTGTATTATTACATGGCAAAGAGAGAAAGATCTGGAGCCTCTTTGCCTTCTTATAAGGGCATGAGGGGGCCATCATCGTGGCCTCATGTAAGCCAAATTACTTCCAAGGGCCCCACCTCCTAATGCCGTCGCTTTAATAGGGCTTCAAGATATACATTTGGGGGGACACAAATGTTCAGTTCATCACAGTAAGTATGCAATAGTAGAAAGATGGTTGAGTAGGAAATTATAAGATGTGAAAGTGATGTGGAGCAAGTCTCATAATTCCCTTCCACAAACGTTTATTAAGACTTCCTTTGTGTCAGCAAATAATACCCTCACTTTCTGGTTCATCTGAATATGTTCAGTTATAATATATGTTTGACTCTGATGAATGCTATGATAGAAATGTAAACCAAAATACTTTGGTGGTAAAATGGAAGGAAAGAATGATCAAGAGAATGATGCTTGTTTATATTTCTGATAAGGAAAGAAAGAGGCCAGGAGTGGGTGCTCATGCCTGTAATCCCAGCACTTTGGGAGAACGAGGCAGGCAGGTGACTTGAACCCAGGAGTTCAAGACTAGCTACAGCAACATGACAAAACCCTGTCTCTACAAAAAAAGAAAGAAAGGTGATTAGGATCCCAAATCTTGGACTAGCTAACCCCGTGAGAGGTACAGAATATTGTTTGAGATTCTTGAATGGTTGGCCCTGGCCCCAAATGAAATATCTGTTCCTGTAATATTATATTCTCTCTATCAGACCCTTTCTCACTGCAAACATTTGTATGATAATGTGAATCCTTGAAGGCAGAAGTTTAGCTGCTATCCAAGCCTGACATCCCTAGATAGGCCTAGTCTGCGCCCACCGATGAATATTTATCCTTAGCAAAAATCAAAATCTTGCTTACTCTATACCTCAAGGCATACAGCTGCTTTTGCAGCTAGAGTGTCACGAGTGAGCATGTCCTGGTCCCAGAAATACTTAGCCTTAGCAAACTGGAATTTCACTAGCACAGTGACCGAGGTCATCTCATAATGCTGGCAAAACCGTTACTCTCTCCACGTGTCCACATGTGCCTTCGCCTACAAGAAGTAAAGCTGTTCTCACAGTTTGAGATCCACAAACCTCACTCCCAAATCCCAGTCCCTTGTGCATGTATTGGCCACGCTCTGACAATCCTGCTAAATGTTAACTTTGAGCAAGAAAAGGGAAATTGAGTACAGGGTTTTGAAATCTTACCCTTAAAAACAGGGTTAGGCCACCAGCATGATTCCTCCTCCTCCTCCTCCTCCTCTTTCTATTCCTCCTGCGCCACCTATTCCTCCTCCTCCTCCTCCTTTTTTCTTCTTTTCTATTTTAAAAGAGAAGCCTAAACAGCCTGATCTCTGATTTTTTCCTTAATCCCTAACCTTGTTCTCATGTCCTGCAATAGTAAAAAAAAAAAAAAGCCCACAAGAGAGGCTTCAAAGGAAAGAAAGCATTTTTTTCAAGCCAGTCATTATTTATTCCACCCAGAAAACATTCTACCCCTTACCCTTTTTCCAGAGATTTCATGAAGTTAGACCTCCTTGTTCAGAGTCAAATGAGAGGTGCACCTTGATATATGACTTGAAGGTCATACTGGATACTGAAGAGCCAGCAGTATTGAAGAGCTTCCAGTATTGAAAGATACTGGAAAGCCAGCAATTTGGATGGATGAATTCACAGGGCTGTAAAAGGAGATAGCATTTGGATTGAGATCTGAAGGATGGAGAAATCTGGTAGAGATGCGGAAAGGGAGTTCAAGAAAATAAAAGAAAATGCAGAAACTTGTGGTTTCAAAAACGATGAACACAGCTAGAGACTCTGGGAAGGGAAACAGATTACACTTAGAAAAGTGTGTTGTAGAGACGTGGTTAAGGTCTTTGAAAGCTAACAAAAGAGATTTTCATTTATTTTATTTTCATTTATTTTATTTTATTTGAGATGGACTTTTGCTCTTTCGCCCAGGCTAGAGGCTGGATTGAAGTGAAGTGGTGTGATCTCAGCTCACTGCAACCTCTGCCCCCGCCCCCCTTGGCCCCGGGTTCAAGTGATTCTCCTGCCTCAGTCTCCCCAGCCTCCCTTGTAGGTGGGATTACAGGTGCCTGCCACCACGCCTGGCTAATTTTTGTATTTTTAGTAGAGACAGGATTTTTGCCACATGGGCCAGGCTAGTCTCAAACTCCTGACCTCAGGTGATCTGCCCACCTCGGCCTCCTAAAGTGCTAGGATTACAGGTATGAGCCACCACCTGTAATTTATGTTTAAAAAGGAAAAAAAGGGCCGAGTGTTGTCTCCTGTCTCCCTCTCAGATCCACCCTCCACCCATTGTCCACCAACTAGACAGAGAAGGATAGCAGTTGGATCTAGGAGCTGGCTTTTATGGATTTCATTAATGGGCTCCCTGTCATCTGAATTTGCATTATGTTTGACCACACTGGAGCACCTTGAGACAGGAAAAATAGGGAGAACTGGATATTCATAATCCTGGATTCCTTCCTGCAACCTAATTCCACCTGGCTACTTGGAGTGACAGGTCTGTCAGCATACCTTTACACTGACAACTTCCAGTAACCC